>NC_000011.10:7635757-7938787 GCF_000001405.40 Homo sapiens
CTCAGCTATTTAATATGCTTTTGCTATCATTATCTGTGGGACAGGATTTATTATTATCACCTCCATTTTATAGGCTCAGAGAAATTAATCTTTAACAAAGTAATCTAGATTTAATCACTGGGAAGGGGATTGCTACGATCTCAGCACACTGAAGAACGTGACAGCTCTCATCCTTTCTGTGCTGATATGTCATGGTTAAAAAAACACAAGTGTACACTCAGTCCCGCTTTGATGAACAAGTTATGTTATAAAAATTCCATTAGGACTGATCTTCTCCAGGGAAGCCTGTTGTGGAAGAGGATTAAGTTTTTAGGCCAGTGCACAAAATGTTGAGCCCATAAAGAAATGAAGATTCATATAATTAGCATGATTTCAGCCACACCCAACCACCATTTATAACATTATATGGAAAATGTATTGTGAGGCTGATGGCATTTCCCTTCTCTGTCCCCTGCCTCCATGTCCATATGAAACATGGAGCTTCTCATTGCTTGCTGACTTCTGCCTGAGAGGGTCATTTTATATTTTCACGGTAAAATGGGGCATCTCTGCTCCTCCACATCTGCGTAAGAGAAAGATCTTTTCTGCACGTCTGCATCTATATAAGGGGCTTCTCTACTCTTCCATATTTGTAGCAGTTGGTTCTTCAAGTGGGCAGCCATTCCTTGGGCCATCTGAACTGTATAGCAAAAGTCTTCTGCCTGCTCCCCTGCCCAGGTGCTCTGCAACACAGTCCCTTGAGCCTGGGGTTGGTGTGGTCCCTTTGTGAACTGAAAGGCTTCCTATGGCGTCAGCTGTTAAATCGCTCAGCAGTCCCCCCTCCCACCTCAGCGTCACAGAGGTCATTCGCAGGTGTTTCTAAAGCACACCTGTAAGTGACCACCTGCTCCTTTGGAAACACACCCAGCTCACAGGCTCAAGGTTTAAGACGCCAATTTGATTACCAAGAAATATAAGTAACGTAGAACTATTTATAAAGAAAAAAATGCTCCAGATTAAAAGATTAATTCTTACATGGTTTTGGCCATAATCACAATCTTATACAACCTCAGTTATTCAACATGACCACCCTCCCCTCTCACCCACATACACCACCGTCCTCCCCAGAATAGCTACACAGGTGCAGAACCGCTCCACAGTCATCTTTCTGCAGCATCCCTAACTGTAGTGTCTGGCCCTTGCTTAAACTGGCTCTTGCTTTCTGTGACTGAGAGCTCATTTCATTGGAAGACATCCTTTGTATTCTTTTGCAGCTGTGTGAGCTTCTCTAAAATGTGCATCTGCTGATCCTCTCCCTCCACATCTAGCCCATGGAAAAAGTCAATCTCCCCTACTCCTGACAGCTCTGGAATTTAAGTCCCTCATGCCCTCTCTGAGTGCTCTGTTCTCTGGGCTGAACATCACCTTCTCATGTGCATGGATCACAAGCCTTTTAAGCTGCTACTTAGTCTTCTTAGGCTCAGCGCTAGTTTCTCAATGTATTCTTCAAGTTCTGCCCTGGACCAGACTTGGAGTGTGATATTCTAGATGTAGTCTGACCAGTGCCTGCCGTGGTCTAAGGACTCCTCTTCTAGATTGCTATTTCTTTAGGCCCTGGGTATGTGATATTTCCTGTGCTTCTCCTTATCCACTGTCCGCTGTGTGCTAGGCCCTGTGGATATGTTATTTCCTGGCAAACCTGAGGTAGGAATTGTTATTCTCCATTTAGAAATGACCAGAGGTCCTGAGAGGTGGAAGAGAAACAGCTCTGTCTGAGTTGGTCTGACTCAAAGCCTAGGCCCTTTCCACTCTGGCATGCTGCTTCTCTGTTGTAATTTAAAGCAGCTGGATAATCAGTTCTACACTACTCCCTTGGCTGGGGCTTCTGTTCCCCTACAGCCAGGAGGATTGTTCTTTTTGGAGACAGGAGAAACAGAACTGGAGTTGAGCATCCTTGTTTCCTCTGCGTCACGTCTTGACATTGCACTGCCTTCCACATCAGTGAGTCATTTCTTCCCAGCCCTTATTCTTGGCCTGAGCAGAGCTCAGAGAGCCCTTTCCATTGTCCTTGATTCCTTTTTGCTGTCTTTCTTACAGGTCGGGGCTGCCTTTTAAACCCCATCCTTGGGTTAGGTATGTGTTCTCCTTGCATCTCAGCTCCTCAGGGAGCTCCCCGGGTGGCCCACTTGCTTCCTTGGCTGTCTCTGCCCTGCCTTGAGGGAGCATGCGTGATGATGCAACCAGAAACACGTTTTTGAGAGCTCTTCCCCCCTCCATATGTCGTATATAATAGGGAGCTTGGAGTCATGCCCTTCAGGTCTCTAACATCTTTGAACACTACCTTCTCACAGTCAGTGGTTCCTGGGTCTGACTGCATTAGTATAATCTGAGATAATCTGAGATCCTTGTTAAAAATATAGACATCTGGGGTGTGCTTCCAGAGGGACTGAATCAGGGACTGGGCACTGGGAATTCATGTTGTTTTACAAGTGCTCCAGGTAATTATGAAGAGCAGCCGGCACATGAACTACCACTTGGAAACTGTGGGTCTTGACCGTATGTCTGATCATGTCTAATCTTCACCTCATGGGTCATCACAAACTTGAAAATCTCATAGCCTTCCTCTCTGAAGGTTCTAGTTACTTCTACTCCACCAGCCAGTTCTTTCAGAATTCAGTTTCCTCTCACTGTATCTCTCCTTTCTGAACTATTTATGGGGAGTTAATAGTCAATGTTCAATGAATGAACTGAATCTCAAACAATTTCTAGGACATATGTTTATAAGCAAATTGAATTGGAAATATATTGGATATTTGGCCTTTAGCTAAATGGAACTTCATAAGATGTCTCAGTCACAGCAGCCTTCCATTACTGTTGTGACTTGCCAGTTTGAAATCTGTTTTGTTTTTTATATTACTTTCTTCAGGATCTAATCAGGTGATCCACAGTTGATTCCTTTAGTGACATTGCTTCAATTTCTCTTTTCTTTTATTCTCACTTTCACAGCACATTCCACTGTGTTTCTCTCAGGTTTGCAGATTAAGAGAGGCCATTGTATGCCTCTTTACCAAATAAGTGCTATCTTCTTCCTCATTTAATCAACTTGTTTCTTTGGGACCTTTCCATGGCCAGGGTCCAAGCATGGAGCTGGCTGCACTGAGGCTCTACCTCGTGCAGACTATGATCCTAAGTTCCCAAAGGAGCTTTGTTGGCATGTAGTCCTCTGGCCCATTTCTTGTTGTCAGCTCCCCCAAGGGTGTGTGTGTATCTTCATGCTTGCCTTAACATGATGTTTTTTAAGAAGCCATGATCACAATATAGGGATTTTTTCTTCTTTTGCTCCACATTTAAACTATAATTTCCCTTCTGTACCATAGCCGCTCTCAGGCAAGATCCATATCATTTATGCAGTTGGTCAGGCCCTCACAGAGATCTGCCCTTTTCTGGTCTGAGTAAGGGTTCCAATTAGCAGAAGCACCTCTCTCCTCACCACAGGAAAGCAAATCTGGGGGAAACAGAGGAGCCCAGACCAGACTGAGCTCAGTTTCCTCTCTTGCAGGATTGTTATTTTACATATATATGTATGTATGTATGATAAAACACTAGGCAGCTTTTATTAGAATGCCAATTTTCATATCCAAAGAGCTTACAGAGTAATTCACGGCTGTTAATTCATTGAGTCTCTGAGCACTAGGCCAGACAGCAAAGGCCGCTTTGCAAGACAGCTTCACTTCCTGTTAGAGTCAGTTTCAGTCAGCCCCAGATTTGCACTTGACTCTGTCCCTGTCTTACTGTGTGGCCTTGGGAAAGTTTCTTCCTTCCTTGGAACTCTGGTCCCCTTTCTCGGACTAGCTAAATAATCTTTGAGGGGTGTTCAAGTCACCATATGTGAAAAATGGCTCTTGCAAAACAGGGAGTTGTTCTGTATCCAAGGATTTCCTAACTGAGGCTGACAGTTAAGTCGGTATCTCTCTCTTTCTCTCACCTTCCAATAGGACAGCCCTTTCTTGGCGGAGCACAAATATCCCACTTTACCTGGGAAGCTTTCAGGAGCCACGCCCAATGGAGAGGCTGCCAAATCTCCTCCCACCATCTGCCAGCCTGACGCCACGGGGAGCAGCCTGCTGAGGCTGAGTGAGTGTCCAGCCCTGGTGCTGGTGGCCTCTGAGCAGTGTCCTTGGCACTTTCAATGATTGTATAAGATCCCTGCACCTACCACCACAATCCACAATTGGAGAATGGTGGGGTGGGTGGCTGGAACAAGTTGTACCTTGGGGTGGTCCCACCTCCCCAGAGGCTCCCCCTGGGCGAGCTGTTTTCTAAGGTCAGCACTCTACAGTCTCAGCAAACCAGGGTGTGTGTATCCCCTACTTCTTTTCGGCTGCAGCTTTTCACCCTTATTTCCTCTCTTCTTCTCTTCCTCCTCTCGAACTCTTTCCTGTCCTTCCTAGCATTGTTTTCCCTCCTCTCAGACACCCCCTTCTACCCTTCCTGCCCCTGGTGCTTCCTTCCTCTGTCATTCTGATCTTCTCTCTCCTGTCTCCACCTTCTTCTCTGCAGCTTCCCTATTCCCCGTAGGAGGGTATCATGCACTCCAAGTGGGAGCATTTCCTTAGGCAAATGAAGTCAGTGGCCAATGGGCAAGGGTGTCGGTCTGCAGGTATCCTTTCGGTGCGTAAGACCTGAAACCACAGAGGCTTTTGCTGCTTTTCATTCAAAATAAGCCATCTTTCCCCACCAGCAGCAAAAGATTCAATGGCCCCGGAAGGGAACATTCTGGTCCTGGCAGGGTTCTTCCTGAGGCTCCTCAGCCTCAGCTCTTCCCTGAGCTGGCCCATGCATTGGCCTAGTGAAGGCCAGCTCTGCCGTTGGCTGCAGGAACTTCAGATAAACCCTTGAATGAGTGTGTTCTAGTGACACTCAAACTGGACTCACTATGGCTTCAGATTGTTCTAGTCTGAGCTGAGTGAGCCCAGGCACCTGCACAAGAGCTGCCTGTGGCCTGGAGTATTCAGCCCCTGCTGCTGTCCCTTCCTTTCCCTGGGTGTGGACACCTCAGCCTGTCACAAAGGGGCCCCAGGAACACTTGGTCCCCTCACATGAAACCTCTTCTCAGTGTCAGTCACCACTCACCCCCTCCTTCTCCATGGGATTATTTTTCTTTCTGTTTGAGTTTTTCTCTCTTGCTCGATGACACTCTTTTGTTTATTTCTTTGCTTCCCCGTAACTCTGTTGGGCTGGACTTTGGCCTCTCTTGTTTCTTCATGTGGCTTCTCTGCTTCTTGGTTCACTGGAGATCGTGGCCGGAGTGTCAGTGCCCCCGTATTAGGTACTGTACCCATTCCAGGTGAGGTGGAGAGTGAGAATGCCTTTGTTTCCCTACCCTAACCCTCCCCTTCACCAGCACTCAGCCAGGGACCCACTACTGCCTGCGTTCCTGCATCTCCCTCTGAGGAAAAAGAAGCTGCTTGTTGGAATAATCCACAAGTACTTTGGACCCCAAATCCTTAAAATTAAAGACATTAGCTCACCTAGATTTGAAATATTGAGCACACTAATTTCTCAGCAAGGAAGCCTGGAGTCCCCACTAGTCTCTGGGATCTTGGTATGGAGTTCTGCCCTGAAGGCAGAACTGGGCAGATTCTCTGGACTCCCACTGAAGGGGAGGGCCCAGGCTTGGGGAAGAAGGGTTCCAGGGGTCACATCCTTACATTCACATTCATTGCCTTCTTCCAATCTCAGGAGACACAGAAAGTGGCTGGGACGACACTGCTGTGGTCAATGACCTCTCATCCACATCATCGGGCACTGAATCAGGTCCTCAGTCTCCTCTGACACCAGATGGTAAACGGAATCCCAAAGGCATTAAGAAGTTCTGGGGAAAGTAAGTTGGTGCCGTTGATCCTAATTATATTGCTTAGAATTTTTCTTTTTGATTGGGCAAAGAGTCTATGTAAGCCCCTGGTCCAATAGACACTGAAACAGCAGTCAAAACAGAGTGTTCATGTTCAAAGAGAAGAATCTGAGATATTTTCCAGGGCCAAGAGAAGGAGAAGTATGAAAGACACCCATTGAATATATCCAGTTGCCTTTCATGTCATGCATCCTAAGCACCCACCCATTCCACACACCCTGAACATAATCTCTGCAGCTTATATTACATTGGATCTGGCACAGACACAGATGAGACTGTATTCTCCCTTCTTAGGAGTCAGTCTGTTTTAAGAAATCTTTGAAAAACCTTTGAAAGCCAAGTACTTGCTGGCCCAACTGATCCACTTTGTGACATGAGGCAGAAACTGGGGCCTCCTACAAGGCATCAAACTTTGCTTTGACTTCTATGGCAAGTGACCAAATCCCAGAGGCAGGATCCGAATTGAGGCTTGAGTCTGGCCAAGGAGCTGCGACAGGTTGTGATCCTTGATCTCTGGGAAGGTACGGAGAAGCAGTGCTGCCGAGAGTCCCTGTGCTGGCCTGCATGGCCTTGCAAAAGAGGAAGCACAGTGACTGTAGGCTTTCTGACTATTCCATGACCGTCTCCATGGATTCTTCTCCATGCAGAATCCGAAGAACTCAGTCAGGAAATTTCTACACTGACACGCTGGGGATGGCAGAGTTTCGACGAGGTGGGCTCCGGGCAACCGCAGGGCCAAGACTCTCTAGGACCAGGGACTCCAAGGGACAGAAAAGGTAAGGCTTGACCCACTTTCCTTTGATCTCCCTGCTCTGAAAAAGAAGTATCTCCCTTCAAACCTGCATGGGTGAATCTTTACTCCTGTGTTTTGCGGAAACCCCTTTCCATATTCTCTTCCCCAGTCAAGCAGTCCCTACAGTACGTCATTTCCAGCACAATATCTCCTAAGTTCTGAGTTACTCAGCCAAGATCAGTACTCCTGGAGGTCTTCCACAGGATTGGAATGTGACATTTTATATCTAACCAAAAGGCAAAAAGTAAGCTGTAACTCTCTTCAGTTTAGTCACCTCAAGATTGCCATATACCAATGCAGAGTACAGGTAATTACTGGTTATGATATGTATCATTCAGATGTCCGTTCTCAGAAATAATATAGTCTAGATTCCAATTAAGGAAGAAAAGCATTTCCCTAAATGCATCATATTGTTTGCAGACCTGCATCCCCTGCGGAAGGGAGTCTTAGCTTATTTTGCACATGGATATGATACTGCACTTCCCTGGCTTGCCAAACAGGTTTCTAGTCTTACCAGGTCCTCCTCGTGCATGAGACCTGGGACCTTTCCAGATCCATTTATTCTTCGATGAGTATCCCCAGACTCCAGGAAGCTTGAAAAGAAGCATGAGAATGTGTAGACCATTAGCTTTTAGAGGCTAGAGAATCTAAGGACATAGTCTAAGTAAGTCAGAGACCAATTCAGAGCCCTTAGAAAGTGAGCCAGGGAAAGCTTTACCTGTATATTCAATAATTAGATATTCTAATTTACTTGGCAATTTTCTCAATGTAGACATTACTGTTGTTTCTGATTTATCTGAGCTGAAAAAAAATCAAGCTATAGTAAGCTTGAATGATTGATCTTTGTTTTAATTCTGGCTAGTTCTTGAAGGATTGACTCTAGAAGGGGAATCATTGGGTCAGGGTATAAAAACTTTCCTAAGACCCCTCAGCATTGTCCCTAGAGTAGGAGAGCATGGTTAGGGAGCTATCTGTATTCTGACAGTCACTTTAGGGTATGGGGTGACCAGGGTCAGTAGCTTTCTTTGCCAAAGGAAAAAACTGCAGTTCCAGCCACAGGCTGCTTTGTTCAAATGTCTTTGTGCTTTATGAACCGTAACAGTGGATGAGAAAGGGAAGACGTATGAAGAAGTCCTGATGAGATTGTTATGTTTATCGTAATGGTGCAAAATGAATTTGCTCGTGGAAAAGAAAGGCCTTGTGACTCTTAACTAGAAATTGATATATGTTAATGTCCTCTGGTGATATTTATAATTTCTAGATATTAATATTTAGGTGTAGCTTTAAAACTGTTGTTGCTAGTATTCTTTAGGAAAAGTACTTTGATACTGAAAGCCTCCAGCCCCAACCTTTTTTTGTTCAATAAAACAATTGATTTTTTTTTAAATATGATATTTGATAACATTGTGTAGGCACTCTCTCTCAGATTATGGATGAACACATTTTATTTTCTTTCTTCTCCCAGGTAAAGTTTTACAGAGTTACATTCCAGTCAGCACTGCTGGACAGAGTGCGCCTATTACACCCACATCCTTGTCAGCATTGAGTAGTTAAATTTTTCTTTTTCAAAGTTTTCTACTTTTATGAACCTCCAAATTTCCTTTTTATTGGTAATTTAGTTTTCATGTTTGTCCTTTTAATTCTTTTGTGAATTATCTGCATTTTTGTTCATTATTATTATTGTATTTCTTATAGATTTCTAACTGTTCTCTATTAAGATATTAAGTCATGTCTAGTAATTGTGACAAAGTATTTTTAGGTTTGTAGCAGAATTTTACTTTTGCTTCTGATACTTTGATACATGGAATTTTTATGTTTATATAGAATTAGGTTCATCCACTTTGTGAATTCTTTCATCATTTTGTTTTAAATTTTTTTCTGTGATTTTTAAAAACTTTGAATAATCCATTTAGGAATTATTATAGTTTGTGAGTTTATTATGAGTTACTATTTTTGAGAAAAAGGCAGTAAAGTATAATGTTTAAGGCAAACAGGCTCTAGAGCCACATGGCTGGATCCCACCTTTGCGGAGTGTTTTTTTCCTGAGTTGATCTACTGACTGTATTGCCCTTCAGGACTCCAGCTTTAGGAGAGGTCCCCAATCCTACTGCTCCCCTACCCTGGGCCCCATTTTGTTTCCTTTTCCTACACGCATGGTGAGTCAGATTCATCATGAATGTAAAGATGCTTAAGCTTCAGGGACCCTCCTTTGTATGGAGCCCTTCCAGGGTCCAGAGAAAGTCTGATCATAGTGTTAACAGGGCCAGGTGTTTTGAAAATTTTGCCTAAAAAAGGTATTTTAGGCCGGGCGCGGTGGCTCACGCCTGTAATCCCAGCACTTTGGGAGGCCGAGGCGGGCGGATCACGAGGTCAGGAGATCGAGACCATCCCGGCTAAAACGGTGAAACCCCGTCTCTACTAAAAATACAAAAAATTAGCCGGGCGTGGTGGCGGGCGCCTGTAGTCCCAGCTACTCGGGAGGCTGAGGCAGGAGAATGGCGTGAACCCGGGAGGCGGAGCTTGCAGTGAGCCGAGATCCCGCCACTGCACTCCAGCCTGGGCGACAGAGCAAGACTCCGTCTCAAAAAAAAAAAAAAAAAAAAAAAAAAAAAAAAAGGTATTTTAAACACAACCAGTTTTAAGACTGCTGACTATTTTTACTGCAACTTTCCCTTGGTCTATACTTTTCCTTGTAACAGATGGTGTTAGGGCAGCTGTGGGGGTTTTGGAGGACTTGCTAAGGGGAAGTTGACCTGGGGATCCATGTAGTTTGGGTTTAGGGGGGTATGTGTGTGCATGTGGTTTGCAGTCACTGCATGTTTAGTTTTGTTAGGTTTAATTCACTAGCTTTCCTACTGCACAAATGGCTTCCAGGATTTCTTCTACTTCCCATTGTGCCGATTCGCTCAGTGCTCTGTACTCACTAATGAACTGTAAATTATAAATGTGCCATGTGCTCTCCCCCTACTGTGAGAAGAGCATATTTGAGAAATCTCAGCTACATCATTTGAACTGCAATTTGAAAGGATGTTTTGGAATGTGTCAACAAAACAAATGGTTTGGCTGTATATGAAGGGTATCTTCTCTGTCATCTCCAAATTATTTCCCAGCGTGTTCAGTGGTGCCCTGGCTGAGGATATGGGAGATGCTGGCACTGAGAGGAGCTGAGGAGGAGGTGCAGAAGCTGGGTCTGATTCTGTGTGAACACCTCAAGGCTTAGGAGGGAGGAGAGGATTCGCAAAACAAAAAATGGGAAGACTACTGGAGATGATGCCCAGAGCTCTAGGTGGTTTTGAAAAGGTCGATAGCACAGAGGTTTTCCAATTATGATCTCAAAAACACTTATTTCCCCTTTAGAGCTGAAATGTTAGGTTCACAAAGACTAGGCAAAAAATAAAAGTTAAAAAATTTAAAAAAGAACTGAAATGTCCCTCAGATATGTTTGTTTTTCCCACTTCCAAGAAACAAGGAAACAAATGAAATAAAAACCAAATATAATATAAAACAAAAGTGATAAAATGAGCATTGAAATTTGAGAGAAATTATTCTTTCTTACATTAAAAAACAAATTATAAACAAAAAATCCAGATCACACCAAAAGCAGTAATTTGCTAAGAGCAAGAGGTAAGGTTTAAACAAAAGGAGTGAGTAGCCCTCTAGATTGTTGTTCATATAAGATGAATGATATGAATCCATTGGGAAAAGGTTGAAATTTCTTGCTGAGTTTACATGATGTACTGACAGTGACAAAGATAACATAAAACTCATGTACTGCCGCAAGGACATAGACAACACATGAGTTAAATGAACTTTGTCAATTCAAAGAATGTTTAAGATTAGCCATAGCGTTAGAAAACTTGAATGCGTTATAGTTTTACAACTCACATATAAAAGACATTTGATAGAGGCCTTTCTAAATTTAAATGATTCTAAAAATGTACGTGACAATACCAGTTATAAATTGTGAAGATAAAACTTCTTAACTATTGTCATAGAAGATAAATATTGATCAGTCATGCTAGAAGAAAGACTAAATCAACCGTCTGTTGTCATAGAATATATTATAAAGTTGTGGACATACAAAGAAGCAGTCAAAGAGTATCCACCCAAAATACAAGAGTAAAGAAGTACTATAGCTGGATACAGTAGCTCAGACCTGTAGTCCCAGCTACTTGGGAGGCTGAGGCAGGAGGATTGCTTGAGCCCAGGAGCTCAAGGCTGTAATAAGCTGTAATTACATCACTACACTCCAGCCTGGGCAGCAAAGCCAGACCCCATCTCTAAAAATAATTAATTACTAACACCCTGTCTCTAAAATAAATACCCCATCTCTGAAATAACAAATACCCTGTCTCAAAAAAGAATCAAACTATAGAGGTACATCAAGATTTTATATAATGAAATATTTCTAGATTTTGTGATTTTTTTTTCAGTTTTGCAAAACTTGCAATTTTTTGTGGCTTGTTTTCTAATTCTAAATATTCCCTTTGTTTCTAATTGTATATTCAAATTTTATACTATTTTGAAGAGAAAGTTTGTAAGTTCCAGGCCTCGTAAAATATTTTCAGGACCCATGAAAGCCCAGGTTCCAGATTATGATTGATCAGTCCCTGCCCCAGGGTATACATTATCTCTAACATTTGATCTAAAATGGGGCATTCTTATCATGCTTATCCTTTGAGGAATTCCCTCACTTTAACAACAGCTCAACCAGGCATTTAAAAAAATATGTTTTAATCTAATATGTTAGGGGTACTTTGAAGGAATCTTTCTGGTCTTTGAAGGAATATCTACGATATTCTATAAATCCTCATTTATGAACATAAAGTTGCTCTGTCGAATCCCCCCTAAAAAAATGACTCTATTGGGATTTTTAGTGTGCTATTCACACTTTAAATGAAAAATGGATGTCTTTAAGAATTGATGGCTTTATAAAACCCAGTCATCCTGTCTAGGAACATAATCTAGCTTTTCATTTATTCATGTCCTTTTTTATCTAGCTCAGTTGACTGCTGCAGTCAATACCTCTCCCCACCCCCGCAATCCCCACACATAATCACACAAGGCCAAACATCTCTTGTTAAGGCAATTCCTAGACGTTTTATAATGTTGGTTGCTATGAGTGGGATTTTTAAATTGTTTTAACAGTAGCATTAGTATCTGTGCATTGATGGTATTAGAAAATTATTGATCTTTGTATGTAACATACGTTACATATGTTTATATGTGTATTTCGTAAGTGGCCACCTCACTGAGCTTTCTTGGGTTTTCTAAATGGGCAGTCCTGACATCTGTAAAGAATGGCTTTATTTCTGCCTAATAGCTATACTTCTTGTTCTTATTTATCTCTAATACTGGCTATGACTCTCAGACCAGTGTTGTTAGTACTGATGAAAAATATATTGTCCTTTTATTGACTTTAATGTGAATGTTCCTCCTGTTTTGTTAATAAGTAATGTGCTAGCTGTTGTTGATTGGCAAGTTTTTGCTTTTAGTTTTGGGTGTTTTGTTTTTTTTCTTTTTAATGTTAAGAGAACTGACCCTCTTAAATGCTAAGAAAAGTAGTTTTCTAAGCATTTTCCTAAAAAGATGATTCCGCCTAATGAGGCCACAGCTCTGGACTTGTGGCATGTATATGTGTGTATGCGGACCTAGGACATGTGAACATGATCTCAGGAGGGCCATACAGGCTGCCCCATTCTCTAAGTAGCCTGAGATTTGAAATTCAGATCTTGTGTTATTAAGAAAACTCTAGGGTCTACCTCCTATGAGTGTGTTGTAGTGGAATTTTGTTCAGCAGAATCCCATGATGGAGGTTGTTTGTTAAAAAACAGGTTTTTTGTTTTGTTTTTTCTTTTCTTTTCTTTTGTTTGTGAGACATGATTAGATTCAGAACCTCAGGCTCTCCCACTAACAGGAATATGCTGTTTTCCTGCTTCCCAGTGACGCCAATGCCCCCTTTGCCCAGTGGAGCACAGAGCGTGTGTGTGCATGGCTGGAGGACTTTGGCCTGGCTCAGTATGTGATCTTTGCCAGGCAGTGGGTATCTTCTGGCCACACCTTATTGACAGCCACCCCTCAGGACATGGAAAAGGTAAGGGCTCAGCTTGGGGAGAGGAGGCTCCCATTTCTCCCCAAAGCATGGGGAGGCCAGGGTCCGCCACTCCTGTCACACATACACACAGGAGGATGGATGGAGGAGGCTGAGAGTTCCTCTGTAGCTGCAGGTTGGCATCCCAGGGCACGGTGTGGAGATACACTGCCATACTCAGAGCATCTCCACCCAGACACAGCTTTCTCTGAGGGCCAAATTGCCTGCCAAAATTTCACATGTGGTCTTCATCTTTTAATTTCAGGAGCTAGGAATTAAGCACCCACTCCACAGGAAGAAGCTTGTTTTAGCAGTGAAAGCCATCAACACCAAACAGGAGGAGAAGTCTGCACTGCTAGACCACATTTGGGTGACAAGTAAGGATAGGCATATATGTATTAAGAATGTCTCTGGCAGCAACTAAGAGTAGAAAGAATTTTCCTGTTAAATGGGTACCTCAAGGACAGCTGTCTCCTTGTAAAAAGCAGAGGAATTACTAAACTTTTGGGGGAATAAAACGAACCTCAAAATATAATTTGCTCCCCTTTTTTTGGTGTCTACATTCTCTCATTCTCATGAATCCTGACACATCTGGGGTTTTTGTATTTGTAGGGTGGCTTGATGATATTGGCTTACCCCAGTACAAAGACCAGTTTCATGAATCTAGAGTTGACAGACGAATGCTGCAATACCTAACTGTGGTGAGGACTTTTTCTTTAAATATTTCAGTTGTCCCTGTGAGCACTCAGCTCACGTGTACCCATGGTGGTTATTTTAAACTTGATTCCATATATTCTTAAGGCCTTGAAATAGTATCATTTGTCACAAAAGAGGTCCCAAGTAGCAGAGTACAAACCACTGTGATAAGCTATTGGTGTCTCCACGTGCACCTTCCTGAGATGTGGTTGACTTGTCTATGCTTGGTCTGGTGAGGGACATCAGGGGTCTTTTGTCACTTTGGAAACTCTGGTTTATAAACCAAACTTTCCTCTTTCAGAACGATTTACTCTTCTTAAAAGTCACCAGCCAACTACATCATCTCAGCATCAAATGTGCCATTCACGTGCTGCATGTCAACAAGTTCAACCCCCACTGCCTGCACCGGCGGCCAGCTGATGAGGTGAGACCACAAATAGTATCTCTCCAGGTAGCCCTGAGCCAGGACCCCTGAAACATCGAGCATGAGCAAACAAGAATGACATCATAAAAGCACTGTTTTTTGCACCATGGTGCCTGGGATTCTTTTGTTTGCTTGTGCTTCCTGTTGCCCCAAACATCCGTTACCTGCACTTTGTGTCTCACAGTAGCCATAGACCTCTAAGCTCCCACCCTCCACTGGGGAGACACATGCTATAAAGTCATCATAGTGATTAAAGGAGATGAGGAGATGGTGCAAAGGAGAGGGGGAGGGAAAGACAAAATGGAAAGATGGGTGTCACAGTAGAAGAGAAGAGAAGAGACAGAGGAGGGGGAAGAGGAGCCCGTAGAAGCTAGACATTTCAGAATAGGTATCCCTACTTGTAGATCCAAAATTAACTGACTTCCAGGCCCAGGTACAGGGGATCCATGAGTAGTCTTGCTAGAGAAGAAATAGTATACGTAAATAACAGCACCCCAAGTCTTGAAGAAATAACTGATTATGTTCCATGAACTTCGGAGTTCTTGGTGGACCCCCAAACTGAAGATTGTCAGTCACATCCTATCTCCTCTGTTCCTGGGAACTAGGTCTAACCTTGCTGTAAAATTAACTCAGCTTCCTGGGCTGCTACCTTTGCTGTCTATCTCCTATTTTCTCCTTATTCAACCAACATGTTTTGAATGTCTTGTATATGTCAGGCACAGCGCTGTGCATTTTTAAGACCACAGTGCTACGTGAGAGCACTTAGGAATAAGTACCTTAAGGTGTGCTCCCCTAAAATCATTGGCCACACCAGGGAGATCTTTCATCTATAAACCACTTGGATTGTAAAATTGACAGTCATCTTTAAAGTTCTGTTGAATCACTGAAAGAATAACTATAATGTCCTCATTTATTTGTCTCAAAGTTAGCTGGAAAATGATGGAGTAACAGAATTCTGGATTCAGATATCTCAGTGTGGAAGATCTTCAAAGATTCAGTGGGAGCTCTATTTCCTAGAAACTGGGGAGGCTGGTGCTCTGGCAGATGGGGTGGGTCACTAAGCTTGAGGGCCTTCTATTGTTGTGATGCGTCTGGGGCAGGGTTACTTACCGGGGCTGACTCCACAGAGGACCATGGTGGGACCTATTAAGCCTAACTTCCTCACTCTCCTTCTCCCTCTGACAGAGTAACCTTTCTCCTTCAGAAGTTGTACAGTGGTCCAACCACAGGGTGATGGAGTGGTTACGATCTGTGGACCTGGCAGAGTATGCACCCAATCTTCGAGGGAGTGGAGTCCATGGAGGCCTCATTGTGAGTGGCTCTCTGGCCTAGCCCACCTGCCTTGGTGCAAATGGGATATTCAGAAACTTATTTATTAAGGACAAGGCACAAAAGCTAACGAAAAAAAATAGGTACTTCATCTGGAGGTCTTGCATAATTTGATGTCTCAAAGTATTTTGATAACTTGTCCTTGAGAATTAATATACCTCATGGAAGCAAGATGCCTTCTGGCAGCACCTCCTTGGCATGAGACTTGAGGATTCTAGGTCGATGGGTTGCATGGAGACCAACGCTTACAAGGCGAGGGAACAGCAGGGCTGAGGAAGGGACGGGGAAGCCGTAAAAATGCAGCTTCCCACTTGCTGCAATAGGATCCCTATCACTACTCAGATCTGTCAGTGGCAAAGCCAGAGGGGAAATGAGGAAGTGTGGTGGCTTGGATGTCATCCAGAGAAGATCCTGAGAGACAGCCTCACCAAAGAGGTCCCAGTTCTCTGCTGGTCTGTGAAAACAAGGTGGTCAGTCAGCACATGTGCTAGTATGTGCTCAGAGCCAGGCCCTGTGCCAGCCAGTGAGTGGAGTGGGACTCAGAACAAGTGACTGAGCTCCTGTCCCTCCTCTGGAGGCACCCCCAGCCCCAACAGGCCAGTCTCTCAGCATCCTCCCCCTCGAGCCATTTGTATTTGCTCCTGGCCAGGCTTGTCTCTGGTTCCTTCTTAGATCCTGGAGCCACGCTTCACTGGGGACACCCTGGCTATGCTTCTCAACATCCCCCCACAAAAGACGCTCCTCAGGCGCCACCTGACCACCAAGTTCAATGCCTTGATTGGTCCGGAGGCTGAACAGGAGAAGCGAGAGAAAATGGCCTCACCAGCTTACACACCACTGACCACCACAGCCAAAGTCCGGGTGAGTTGCAGAGCCTTTCTGGGTGGGCCCTGGGCTGCCTCCTGGCCCTCACGCAGCACAGCACCTGGCGCGATGCCCACAGCCAGAGCAGCATGCGCAGCCTGGACAAAGAGGATCTTTCAGCTTCTGCTGTGGGCTTGTGGTCTGTGAGGCCAGTCTTTGTTAAGCCAGTTCTCCACCAGTTTGGAGTCCAAGGAAGACAGTGCAGGTTTCTTTACCTAGAAAATATGTGCAGGAAGCACCTATCCTCAGGTGGCTTAGAGCTCGTCCTCTACCCCACTGCTGCTGTGACTCACCTTGCAGAGCGGAAGCGCTCCGAGTCTGGCTTTCCTTCGGTCAGGCCTGCCTGCGTGCCGCAATGCCGTGGGATCTTGGTCAAAGCTGTCCTGCTGATATAGGAAGTGCTTCCAATGGAAGCTGGTTCCATTTGTCTTGTTTCGTGAAGTGGCCAGCACACAGATACCCAGAGGTCCCCAGGTCTTTCAAGCACCAACACTACTCACTGGGGCTCCCAGAATCCCACAAAGCCCTTTAGACCTGCCTGAGCCACAGCATCCTCAGACCACATTCTTCCCAGACTACAGACCAACAGGCAACCTCTGGAGGCCAGGCTGGTCCTATCCCTGGTAGTGTTGATGCTTCATGCCCAGCTACAACTCAGGCACAGACCTCCTTCCCCAGGGGAGCAAGACAGGAAGTATGTCTGGGGGAGTCAGGCAGAAACAGTGCTGGATGACGCTAGGGCAGGGAGCAACCTGGGGCTATCCTACGCGCCTTTAGATGGTGCCAGGTGCTGAGATGGGAAAGGGTTGGGGTGCCAGCAGCTGTGCTGAGGCAAGTTCTCTGTGCTTCGCCTCAAATGCAGACCTCAAGTACATTCTAAAGGAACTCCCAGTTCATCTATGGAAATAAGAAAGTCACTTTGGTGGGGCAGCCAGGCATGAGTTTCAGGCATAGTATTGGAGGGGCAGCTCTTATTGTTCAAGATTATTTACCTATTGGCCTTTCTGCAGCATAGAAATTGCTTCCAAGAGCTCTGTTTTGTTCAGAGTCTTTCTAGGAGCAGTTTACATTATTCCTCTCCTTGAGTGCCTGCTCTTAAATTTTAAGTATATTGTCAGTCATACCTGCACACTGCCTTGATTGCCTTCTCATAATCTTGCATTTTCTGTGTTTTAGCCAAGGAAACTAGGATTTTCACACTTCGGAAACATAAGAAAAAAGAAGTTCGATGAATCGACGGACTACATTTGCCCAATGGAGCCCAGTGACGGTGTCAGTGATAGTCACAGGGTCTACAGTGGCTACCGGGGCCTCAGCCCCCTTGATGCCCCTGAACTGGATGGGCTGGACCAGGTGGGACAGATTAGCTGATGCCCTTGTCACCTGCCCTCTGTGCACCCTGAGAGCTCACAGTAACACTGTGTGTGTCACCATATAACTGCACCTCACCCCCGCACGTGTGCATGACTCGCAGAGAATATTCCAGCAATTGTGTACCCCTGGGCCAGTCTCTTTGAACCCTGAGGGTGGCCAGGATCTGGAGCTGCATCTCTAAGGGGCCAGGCTTTGGGGACCATTGCCAAAGGTGGACTCAGGAGGAAAGACACTTAAAGACACTTTTACATGTCTAGTAATTCTTGATGTTCATCTTCAGCACCAGTGGAAACACATGAACTTCGATGCAGGTCCAGAGACCATGGACACTCCCACGAGGCTCAGCTCTCAGGCACCCCCTACACTTCAGTTGAGGGAAAAGCTCAAGTGCCTTAGGCCCGTGGACCACAGTCTTGGCTGAGATCAAAGGGATGAGCAACAGGGACTTCTGCCACAGTGACAATGGAATTGTGTTGTGCCTTACTTCAGAGGTGGTCTCTTCTTTCTTGTAATAAAAGCAATATTTATGCGGAAAGCAAGCAGCTCACCATATCTTTAACTTTGTTGGGGAAAAAGAGCTGAGGGTAGCTGGAAATGGAGTCCTACGGATTGCAGAGCTGAAGAGCCGGTGGCACTGAGCCTAGTCCTCAGCCAGGTGCATGCTCAGGATTCACCAGGGGGGTAGAGCAAGGCGGGACCCCCTCCCATAGCCTTCAGAGGAGGTCCGTGGCCGCACTGCTTCAGAATTTGCTTCCCTCTGTGAAGCCGAGGGGGCTTCAAGTCTCATGCACATCCTGACCATAGGGTCCATCTGTCGTGCAGACCTCAAAGCTGAGTGCTTTCAGTGGCATGAGCCCCCCCAGTGAAGGGGATGGTGGGGAGACAAGAAGGCACCTTGCTGGAAAGACTCTCTTTCATGTGTTTTGCTGGCTTCTCTATTACTGACTTAGCTAGGCTCATAACCATGGTGGGGGCTGGTCTGTCTGCTGGCAGAACTGAAAGAGATCTGTCCCCTTGATTTAGAGGCTGACTGACTGATAATGACTGATAATGGCTCCTCCAGATGGGCCTTGTCTGGCTGGGACTGAGGTAGAGATGTGCCTTGCCAGTCTGGACTCCTGGTCAGAAGACTCTAGTTTGCCCCCAGGCAGTGCTTGGCTCCCCTCAATCCCCTGGGCCTCATCGCAGAAGAGTAACACCACGTCACCGCTGTCTGATGGCCTGGGCACGGCCTGATGACTCCATTCCATTGTAGCACTCTGATTCTGTACCAGATGGAGGCTATGCTAAGATTTGCTTCTTAAACTACCAGCAGCCTCAGGCATGGTCTGTTGCCACAGGCCACTGCCTCCTGGGAGGTGAGAGATGTGGGGACAAGCTTGCCAGCTGGCAATGCTGCTGATAGATCCTGGTACCCAGGTCCACTGGATGACAAGTGCTCATTCAGGCTGATGCCTGGCCACTGGAGTTGTAGAGCCAGTCAGGGCAGGCTTTGTCCCTTGTTTCTTATGTTGCGGTACAGGGATCTCTGCATGTGCCTGTTTTCAAAACCTGCATGGAACTGTTGTGCCACTGATTCTCTGCACCCTCAAGTAAGTCCTGTTCCCTTTGTGGGCTTGTTTTCCTACCTATAAAACAAGGGAGGGGTTACACTTGGTGCCCTCCAAATTTACAGAGGATGTTTCCAAATCTACAGTGTCTAAGTAGGTTTAGGGAAGGAGGAAGAGACCAGCATTACCTGAGAAGGAGGGGCAGGAGGGAGGCTCTTGAGTAGTGAGGAAGGATGCCCACCTATGTCAGGGCATTGGTGTCTGAGCTCCTGTTGCCTGGTAGCAGGAGTCTAGCATCCTGAAGGCCTTCATTCCTACTGCTCTCTGCTCCTGGAAATAGCTGGAACATTGAACACGTGCAGAAGGGCTGCTTCTGACAAGCTTGTGTCTTGCCTCTGTGTACCCTGAATGCCAGTTCCCAGTGGGGCCCCAGGAGAGGTATGCATGCAGTGTGGGACATTGATGCCTTTCCCCAGGAAACAGGAGCAGCATGTGCTCCACCCACCTGTCACTCCTCAGGGCCTGGCCCACTCCTTGCCTGTCCCTCCAGAGAAGCATGCCCTGGAGAAGCCAGGCTTGAGCACGACAGGACTTGCATGCCATCTCTCTGAATCACAAGCTGCATCCATGTGTGCTGACCAGGCTGCTGCCCATTTTACAGATGGCACCTTCGGAAGGTACCGTGACGCAGATAGGGCTCCTCTCCCAAGACATTCACCGCCTTACGGTAGGACTCTGACCCTCTCCCCACAGTCAGACTGGTGCCAGGGAGGCCCAGTGAGTTTGGTGTGGTGTGGTGTGGTATGCACAAGGCCTGGGGGACGGCGAAGAATGGTGCTTAGTGCTGGGGTCACAGCCTGAGCCTGAGCCAGCCACGAGGCAGAAAGCAGCCCAGGGGCCTTCTCTGTTGGCCTGTTACTGGACCTTGAGCCCCTAAGGGCAGTGGGGAGGCTCATCGGCTGTTAGCCAAAGCCAGCTAAAGCACACTAGATCTCAGGTCCTCTTCCCAGGCTTAGAGATGAGGAAACCAAGATGCTCAGCAACTCTAGATCACCTGTCTCATCAGCCTAGAGCCCAGGCTGCATCCTGTCCTAGTGGACACTTCCACCCTCTGCCCAGAGACATATGCATTTCCTATCGTGCCTCTGACTTTGTGGGTATCACAGAGTGTTGACAGGCTTGTGAGCACATCCTGGCACGCCCGAAAGGACAAACCATATCATGGGGAAGCAGTTTGGCCTCGAAAAGCAGCTTTGGAGTGAGGCTGAAGTCCCTGCTCTGACTTCACTAGCTCTGTGACCTTGGATGTCATTCTCTCCTGAGCTTTGGCTTAGTTATCTGTAAAGCAGGGCTAATGACATCCTCCTTGCCAGGCTTATAGGCAGACTAGAGCTGGCAGGAAAAGGCCAGCCACAGAGCACAGGATTTGTTTTTGAGGATCCATCACTCCCAAGGCCTTTTAGTTCTTGGACATTCCATCACTGAGCCTATTGGCTATAGTGTCTGTCCCCATCGAGGCCCCTGTCCCTGTACTTTGCTTGCTTGTCTAGCAAGGCCCATTGGGATGACAGGACAAGGACAGGGACACACGACTCTCCTTGTTTTCAAGGACAAAACAGGAAAGTCTCCCTGACTCCAAACAGGATCAGTTTTACTCAACGTTTTTATTTATTGGCCCACCCATGAAAGGAATCTGCCCACACTTGCCCTTATGATCTAGGCCTTTGGTGGCCTGAAAATAGAAAATTTATTTCTAAGATGAACAATTTATTTTTATCTTAATAGTGTTGTTTATTCTGACCCAATACTCAGGGTTTCTTGGGACACTATAAACTTATAGTGCACCTGTGTCAGATGCAGCCCTCACCCAGTGCCCTCTAGTTCCGGTGCAGCTGCCGCAGGGCAGCCTGGACCAAAACTCTATTAAACTGACCCTTCGGCTGTGTCCTTTTCAGACAATGCTGAGCCAGGACCAGCTGCTGAATGACTCTCGCCTGCCTGCCCCCAACTCTGATGACTGGAGATGACTTTCTTCGTGGCTGAGAGCGTAGGGAGGCATGTGTGGGGGCCCCGGAGCCTTTGCTTCTGTGGGGAGCGGGCACACAGCCCCCTCTGCAAGCCCAGTCCGGGCTGGCAGGGTGTCTCAGACAGGCTGCTGACAGGCATGAAGCAGAGCTGTGGGACAGGTGTCCAGGGGTGGCCCCAGGGTCCATGTGTGTCTTCAACCATGCTGCGCTCTTCACCGCAGGCTTCATACCTTTTGTACTTTTATACGTGGACTGCAGACCACTTTGTGGGAGGGCAGTGACATATCAGCACACAGACTCGATGGCTCGTGATATTCCTGGTGACAGCCTGGAGGCTCTCACACTCGAGGGGAAGAGCTGTTAGTTCATAAAACCTGCTGGAAAAAAAGTTCCGAAAAACTGTTTTGAATGTTCTGTAGAGACTGTGTTTTGTGAAATGGTCACCAGGAGGTCCCTCCGGGGCTGCTTCACAGAACGTGCTTTTTCCATTCTTGGGACTGTGGCTGGGCAAGGCAGGTGTTTAGGGTATGAGCGGGTAAAGCAACGAGGCTCCTTACCCACAGCACTGCCTGACTCTATCTCCCGTCATCTGCAAGGGGTATCTGTGCGACTCCCAGCTTGGAGCAGAGGCGTCCCCAACACGTGCACACCCTGCCTTCTGCCTCCACCCAAGCTGACACACAGCCTCCTCCCAGGCCTTGCCCTTGGAGCAGCTCAGGCGTAATGTCTGATTAAATAGCTCCCCCAAGTGGAAGGCCCTTGAGCACCTCAAGCTCCGTGTTTCCACCCCAACTCACCAACTTCCCAAACATGTCTGTTTCCTCTCCACTCTTTAGTCCTTCCTCCCTCCAGGCGTCTGCTCAGGCCCTTCCCTCACTAGGGAATGCATTTTTCTCCTAGTCCCCTTCATGAGGGAAAATCCTGTCTCTCAAGGCACGGCAAAGAGACCATCTCTCAGGAAGCCTTCCCGCATGATCCAGTTACAGGTAGCTCTCCCACAGTGCCGTGTCTGCCCTTGAGCCAGAGCACAGCTCACCTTGAAGTTTCTTGTCGTCTTACCATACCCGTCCTCACCACAAACTTGGAGCACCTGCTCTGCACTGGCTCCTGTAGACAGTCCTCCAGTTGCCAAGGAGATCTGTGCTCCTAAGTTCCTCATCCACCCACTCCTTCGCATGTGTGTGTTAAGAACCTTCCATGCCAGGGCTAGAGATACAGGCATGAATGCCAAGGTCCCTGCCTAAAGGTGCTTACAGTGTAGTGGAGTACAGACCAGTTTCAAACAAGACTCTGCCAAAGGTTACAGATGCTCCAATATTAGTTTCTGCAGCCTAAAAGAGCATGTTGTCATTTTTTTTTTATTATACTTTAAGTTTTAGGGTACATGTGCACATTGTGCAGGTTAGTTACATATGTATACATGTGCCATGCTGGTGCACTGCACCCACTAACTCGTCATCTAGCATTAGGTATATCTCCAGGTGCTATCCCTCCCCCCTCCCCCCACCCCACAACAGTCCCCAGAGTGTGATATTCCCCTTCCTGTGTCCATGTGATCTCATTGTTCAATTCCCACCTATGAGTGAGAATATGCGGTGTTTGGTTTTTTGTTCTTGCGATAGTTTACTGAGAATGATGATTTCCAATTTCATCCATGTCCCTACAAAGGACATGAACTCATCATTTTTTATGGCTGCATAGTATTCCATGGTGTATATGTGCCACATTTTCTTAATCCAGTCTATCATTGATGGACATTTGGGTTGGTTCCAAGTCTTTGCTATTGTGAATAATGCTGCAATAAACATACGTGTGCATGTGTCTTTATAGCAGCATGATTTATAGTCCTTTGGGTATATACCCAGTAATGGGATGGCTGGGTCAAATGGTATTTCCAGTTCTAGATCCCTGAGGAATCGCCACACTGACTTCCACAATGGTTGAACTAGTTTACAGTCCCACCAACAGTGTAAAAGTGTTCCTATTTCTCCACATCCTCTCCAGCACCTGTTGTTTCCTGACTTTTTAATGATTGCCATTCTAACTGGTGTGAGATGGTATCTCATTGTGGTTTTGATTTGCATTTCTCTGATGGCCAGTGATGATGAGCATTTTTTCATGTGTTTTTTGGCTGCATAAATGTCTTCTTTTGAGAAGTGTCTGTTCATGTCCTTTGCCCACTTTTTGATGGGGTTGTTTTTTTCTTGTAAATTTGTTGGAGTTCATTGTAGATTCTGGATATTAGCCCTTTGTCAGATGAGTAGGTTGCGAAAATTTTCTCCCATTTTGTAGGTTGCCTGTTCACTCTGATGGTAGTTTCCTTTTGCTGTGCAGAAGCTCTTTAGTTTAATTAGATCCCATTTGTCAATTTTGTCTTTTGTTGCCATTGCTTTTGGTGTTTTAGACATGAAGTCCTTGCCCATGCCTATGTCCTGAATGGTAATGCCTAGGTTTTCTTCTAGGGTTTTTATGGTTTTAGGTCTAACCTTTAAGTCTTTAATCCATCTTGAATTGATTTTTGTATAAGGTGTAAGGAAGGGATCCAGTTTCAGCTTTCTACATATGGCTAGCCAGTTTTCCCAGCACCATTTATTAAATAGGGAATCCTTTCCCCATTGCTTGTTTTTCTCAGGTTTGTCAAAGATCAGATAGTTGTAGATATGTGGCGTTATTTCTGAGGGCTCTGTTGTTCTGTTCCATTGATCTATATCTCTGTTTTGGTACCAGTACCATGCTGTTTTGGTTACTGTAGCCTTGTAGTATAGTTTGAAGTCAGGTAGTGTGATGCCTCCAGCTTTGTTCTTTTGGCTTAGGATTGACTTGGCAATGTGGGCTCTTTTTTGGTTCCATATGAACTTTAAAGTAGTTTTTTCCAATTCTGTGAAGAAAGGCATTGGTAGCTTGATGGGGATGGCATTGAATCTGTAAATTACCTTGGGCAGTATGGCCATTTTGACGATATTGATTCTTCCTACCCATGAGCATGGAATGTTCTTCCATTTGTTTGTATCCTCTTTTATTTCCTTGAGCAGTGGTTTGTAGTTCTCCTTGAAGAGGTCCTTCACATCCCTTGTAAGTTGGATTCCTAGGTATTTTATTCTCTTTGAAGCAATTGTGAATGGGAATTCACTCATGATTTGGCTCTCTGTTTGTCTGTTGTTGGTATATAAGAATGCTTGTGATTTTTGTACATTGATTTTGTATCCTGAGACTTTGCTGAAGTTGCTTATCAGCTGAAGGAGATTTTGGGCTGAGACAATGGGGTTTTCTAGATATACAATCATGTCATCTGCAAACAGGGACAATTTGACTTCCTCTTTTCCTAATTGAATACCTTTTATTTCCTTCTCCTGCCTAATTGCCCTGGCCAGAACTTCCAACACTGTGTTGAATAGGAGTGGTGAGAGAGGGCATCCCTGTCTTGTGCCCGTTTTCAAAGGGAATGCTTCCAGTTTTTGCCCATTCAGTATGATATTGGCTGTGGGTTTGTCATAGATAGCTCTTATTATTTTGAAATACGTCCCATCAATACCTAATTTATTGAGAGTTTTTAGCATGAAGGGTTGTTGAATTTTGTCAAAGGCTTTTTCTGCATCTATTGAGATAATCGTGGTTTTTGTCCTTGGCTCTGTTTATATGCTGGATTACATTTATTGATTTGCGTCTATTAAACCAGCCTTGCATCCCAGGGATGAAGCCCACTTGATCATGGTGAATAAGCTTTTTGATGTGCTGCTGGATTCGTTTTGCCAGTATTTTATTGAGGATTTTTGCATCAATGTTCATCAAGGATATTGGTCTAAAATTCTCTTTTTTTGTTGTGTCTCTGCCAGGTTTTGGTATCAGAATGATGCTGGCCTCATAAAATGAGTTAGGGAGGATTCCCTCTTTTTCTATTGATTGGAATAGTTTCAGAAGGAATGGTACCAGTTCCTCCTTGTACCTCTGGTAGAATTCGGCTGTGAATCCATCTGGTCCTGGACTCTTTTTGGTTGGTAAGCTATTGATTATTGCCACAATTTCAGATCCTGTTATTGGTGCATTCAGAGATTCAACTTCTTCCTGGTTTAGTGTTGGGAGAGTGTATGTGTCGAGGAATTTATCCATTTCTTCTAGATTTTCTAGTTTATTTGCGTAGAGGTGTTTGTAGTATGCTCTGATGGTAGTTTGTATTTCTGTGGGATCGGTGGTGATATCCCCTGTATCATTTTTTATTGTGTCTATTTGATTCTTCTCTCTTTTTTTCTTTATTAGTTTTGCTAGCAGTCTATCAATTTTGTTAATCCTTTCAAAAAACCAGCTCCTGGATTCATTAATTTTTTGAAGGGTTTTTTGTGTCTCTATTTCCTTCAGTTCTGCTCTGATTTTAGTTATTTCTTGCCTTCTGCTAGCTTTTGAATATGTTTGCTCTTGCTTTTCTAGTTCTTTTAATTGTGATGTCAGGGTGTCAATTTTGGATCTTTCCTGCTTTCTCTTGTGGGCATTTAGTGCTATAAATTTCCCTCTACACACTGCTTTGAATGTGTCCCAGAGATTCTGGTATGTTGTGTCTCTGTTCTCGTTGGTTTCAAAGAACATCTTTATTTCTGCCTTCATTTCGTTATGTTCCAAGTAGTCATTCAGGAGCAGGTTGTTCAGTTTCCATGCAGTCGGGTGGTTTTGAGTGAGATTCTTAATCCTGAGTTCTAGTTTGATTGCACTGTGGTCTGAGAGATAGTTTGTTATAATTTCTGTTCTTTTACATTTGCTGAGGAGAGCTTTACTTCCAACTATGTGGTCAATTTTGGAATAGGTGTGGTGTGGTGCTGAAAAATATGTATATTCTCTTGATTTGGGGTGGAGAGTTCTGTAGATGTCTATTAGGTCCACTTGGTGCAGAGCTGAGTTCAATTCCTGCGTATCCTTTGTTGACTTTGTCTCGTTTATCTGTCTAATGTTGACAGTGGGGTGTTAAAGTCTCCCATTATTAATGCGTGGGAGTCTAAGTCTCTTTGTAGGTCACTCAGGACTTGCTTTATGAATCTGGGTGCTCCTGTATTGGGTGCATATATATTTAGGATAGTTAGCTCCTCTTGTTGAATTGATCCCTTTACCATTATGTAATGGCCTTCTTTGTCTCTTTTGATCTTTGTTGGTTTAAAGTCTGTTTTATCAGAGACTAGGGTTGCAACCCCTGCCTTTTTTTGTTTTCCATTTGCTTGGTAGATCTTCCTCCATCCTTTTATTTTGAGCCTATGTGTGTCTCTGCACGTGAGATGGGTTTCCTGAATACAGCACACTGATGGGTCTTGACTCTTTATCCAGTTTGCCAGTCTGTGTCTTTTAATTGGAGCATTTAGTCCATTTACATTTAAAGTTAATATTGTTATGTGTGAATTTGATCCTGTCATTATGATGTTAGCTGGTTATTTTGCTCGTTAGTTGATGCAGTTTCTTCCTAGTCTTGATGGTCTTTACATTGTGGCATGATTTTGCAGCGACTGGTACCGGTTGTTCCTTTCCATGTTTAGCACTTCCTTCAGGAGCTCTTTTAGGGCAGGCCTAGTGGTGACAAAATCTCTCAGCATTTGCTTGTCTGTAAAGTGTTTTATTTCTCCTTCACTTATGAAGCTTAGTTTGGCTGGATGTGAAATTCTGGGTTGAAAATTCTTTTCTTTAAGAATGTTGAATATTGGCCCCCACTCTCTTCTGGCTTGTAGGGTTTCTGCTGAGAGATCCGCTGTTAGTCTGATGGGCTTCCCTTTGAGGGTAACCCGACCTTTCTCTCTGGCTGCCCTTAACATTTTTTCCTTCGTTTCAACTTTGGTGAATCTGACAATTATGTGTCTTGGAGTTGCTCTTCTCGAGGAGTATCTTTCTGGCGTTCTCTGTATTTCCTGAATCTGAACGTTGGCCTGCCTTGCTAGATTGGGGAAGTTCTCCTGGATAATATCCTGCAGAGTGTTCTCCAACTTGGTTCCATTCTCCCCATCACATTCAGGTCCACCAATCAGACATAGATTTGGTCTTTTCACATAGTCCCATATTTCTTGGAGGCTTTGTTCATTTCTTTTTATTCTTTTTTCTCTAAACTTCCCTTCTCGCTTCATTTCTTTTATTTCATCTTCCATCACTGATACCCTTTCTTCCAGTTGATCGCATCGGCTCCTGAGGCTTCTGCATTCTTCACGTAGTTCTCAAGCCTTGGTTTTCAGCTCCATCAGCTCCTTTAAGCACTTCTCTGTATTGGTTATTCTAGTTATACATTCTTCTAAATTTTTTTCAAAGTTTTCAACTTCTTTGCCTTTGGTTTGAATGTCCTCCCGTAGCTCAGAGTAATTTGATCGTCTGAAGCCTTCTTCTCTCAGCTCGTCAAAGTCATTCTCCATCCAGCTTTGTTCTGTTGTTGGTGAGGAGCTGCATTCCTTTGGAGGAGGAGAGGCGCTCTGCTTTTTAGAGTTTCCAGTTTTTCTGTTCTGTTTTTTCCCCATCTTTGTGGTTTTATCTACTTTTGGTCTTTGATGATGGTGATGTACAGATGGGTTTTTGGTGTGGATGTCCTTTCTGTTTGTTAGTTTTCCTTCTAACAGACAGGACCCTCAGCTGCAGGTCTGTTGGAATACCCTGCTGTGTGAGGTGTCGGTGTGCCCCTGCTGGGGGGTGCCTCCCAGTTAGGCTGCTCAGGGGTCAGTGGTCAGGGACCCACTTGAGGAGGCAGTCTGCCCGTTCTCAGATCTGCAGCTGCGAGCTGGGAGAACCACTGCTCTCTTCAAAGCTGTCAGACAGGGACATTTAAGTCTGTAGAAGTTACTTCTGTCTTTTTGTTTGTCTGTTCCCTGCCCCCAGAGGTGGAGCCTACAGAGGCAGGCAGGCCTCCTTGAGCTGTGGTGGGCTCCACCCAGTTCGAGCTTCCCGGCTGCTTTGTTTACCTAAGCAAGCCTGGGTAATGGCGGGCGCCCCTCCCCCAGCCTCGCTGCTGCCTTGCAGTTTGATCTCAGACTGCTGTGCTAGCAATCAGCGAGACTCCCTGGGCGTATGACCCTCCCAGCCAGGTGCGGGATATAATCTCATGGTGCGCCGTTTTTTAAGCCCGTCGGAAAAGCGCAGTATTCTGGTGGGAGTGACCCGATTTTCCAGGTGCGTCCGTCACCCCTTTCTTTGACTCGGAAAGGGAACTCCCTGACCCCTTGTGCTTCCCAAGTGAGGCAATGCCTTGCCCTGCTTCGGCTCGCACACGGTGCGCGCACCCACTGACCTACACCCACTGTCTGGCACTCCCTAGTGAGATGAACCCGGTACCTCAGATGGAAATGCAGAAATCACCGTCTTCTGCGTCGCTCACGCTGGGAGCTGTAGACCGGAGCTGTTCCTATTCGGCCGTCTTGGCTCCTCCCTTGCATGTTGTCATTCTTAATGGGGGTTTGGGGAAGGAGTCTGAATAGGTTCCATGGAAGAGATGACACTTGAATTTGGAAACATGAATCATATTTTCCCAGGTATGCCGGAGAGGAAGGGCATTCCAGGTAGACAGACTTGAAACAGCCCAGTACAACCTAGGGATTGCCAAAAGTTGGTAGGCTAGAGCAGGGTTTCCTGGCCTCTGTGCTGCTGTCACTTTGGGCTGCGTAATACTCTGTGATGGAAATACTCTGTGATGGAGGCTCTCCTGTGGGTTTTAAGATGTTTAGCAGCATCCTTGGTCTCTACCCTCTAAATGCTAATAGAGGGTAGATGCACCCCTTCTGTAGCTGACAACCAACATGTCTTTGGACTTTGTTATCTGTTCCCTGAGCAGCAAAATCACCCTCAGTTGAGAACCAGTAGGTGAGAGAATGGGGTCGGAGTTGGGGGCCCAGGGAAAGAAAAATCTGATAAAGTCGGCAGGAGCAAACCAAGAAGGGCCTTGGGAGCCAGGCCCTGGAGTGTGTCCTGGAGAGATGGGGGTGGCCAGAGTGGGGTCTCCCTTGAAAGCAGTGAAGGATCCCCAAGGAGACAGTGAACAGGGGGATGGGTGAGGTTGGCTGTCCCTCCCCCCCACCCCGACAGACCCTCGTTTGGGTTTCATGATACAAAGGATTTAAGGCAGTTTCTGGAACCTGACTTTGAAAGTTGAGAAGTTTCTGTGTGTAACCACTCCTACCATGACCCCTAGTGCCATGGAGAGATTCTTGAGAGTTGATGTGACCCCACTTGGAGTTTTTTAGGAACTGCCCCGACACTTGCCAGTTGTGACCCCCATGGGCATGCAGAAGCCAACTCACAGGCCAGGCCACGGCCTCCTGACTGCCTAGCACGTCCCCCACAGAGCCACACTTCATGGGCTGTCTGCTTTGTACTTGAGTTTATTTCACAAAACCACGGAGAAAGATACTGAAATGGAGCTCTTTCCAGCCTCCAAGCAAGGAGGCCCCAGCAGCCAGTCTCCAGCCCCTTGAGCCCTTTTTGTTAGGCCCACACCCAAAAGAGGAGAACCAGTGTGTGCGCGAAGGTACATGGCAAGGCACTTTTGAAAACATCCCAGTTTACCGTGGTGAAATTGAACTTACTCTGAAACAGATGAAAAGGGACATGCAAAATTGCTGAGCACGTGGAGGTGTTAGTAGGTGAAAATCATGTCCTGGGTATAACCCAGCTTCTCCAGGTTAGGGTGAGCCGCCGTCTGGATTAGTGGTGGCGGGCCACACACCAGGATGAGCGTGGACTTCGCTGGAGGAGGAAGGTGCTCCTTGATCATGTCGGCAGTAACGAAGCCTGAGCTGTACTTCCAGCCTGAAATGAAGGAGATGCAGGAGCAAGCTGAGCGATGCCAGGTGGAGTTCCTGATCCCAGGCCGCCTGCACACCCACCCTCAGCCAGGGAGGAGGTGACAAGCTGCTCTACAAAGGCTTAGAAGTCTGTACTACTGCTCCCTGCAAAAAGCCTCAGAACTAGTAAACAGCCCTCTGCAGCAATCACCCCAGGTCCCAGGCTCACTGCAGGGACCCTGAAGCCCTGCTGCTGTCTGTCAGCTGTCAGCATTGACGAGGAAGGAGAACACAACGAGGTATACCGAGGTGTGTGAATCAGTACAGCCAGCTGGAGTTGTCCGGCAGGGTGTGGCCTGGTGTTAGTGGAACTGCGCAGAATTGCTCAGTAGGGTAGCGCCCTCTGCCGACCAGGGACCTGTATGACAAGCAGGTACAGCCGGGAGCAGTGTGAGAGGCGCGCCTGTGGGGTGCTCTGTGCACAGTGGTTGCTGGGATGCTGTCTGGGCTGCAGCAGCTGTCTGGGGGCTCAGCATGTCCAGGTGAGGTGGGCGGTAAGGGGTGTGGTGGCCGTAAGCAGAAGGGTGAGTGGTGAAGGGGTCAGTGCCCATATTAGATGTGTATGTGATGGCTGTGTGGAATGGGTGGGTGTTCACAGTGGACAGGGGCAGTGTCCCTTTTGATGTTCAGTGCAGCGTGAGGTGCTGCTGATGTATTAGACACCTGCTCTCGATTGCCCTTAAAAGCAGGCCATCCCAAATCCTTTCTCCCTCAATTTCTCACATTTCCCATCTGGAGCCAGAGCCCCAGGCTTAACCCCCACATCTGGTCCTACAAAACTAAAACAAAACAAAGAGACAGAGACCAGTCCTCAAAGTGGTCAAGGGTTGGTGCTGACCCATGGTGAGTGAGGGCAATGGATGTCGTACCAATGGGAGGCCTGTCCAGGGTGTACCACAGGTTGAACTGGTCTGGGTGAGTCCTGGCAATTTCTTCAAGCTCTTTTCTGACCAAGATATCCTCCTCTGTCTAGAAAAGAAGCAACACTGAAAAAGCCCCTCCAGGGCCATCCTCTTGTTCCCTGGACTGACTACACCGGTCAGCATACTCCTGGCCAAAGCTGCCACCACTCCAGCTGGAGTGCTCGCTGCCAACTCCCACGGCAAACAAGAGTTCTGCTGCTGCTCCTGAAGCTCAAACCCTTTGTTTTGTGGATGAAGTTCCTCCATGTGGATGAAGAACCTCCATGGGATGTAGGTTCCCATGGAGCTGCAGTGACCGCCTCCAACTAGAAGGACCTTAGCCAAGCGCTGGCCAGGATGGCTTCACTCGGAGCTCCAGCCCTGCCTCCTACATCTACACTGAGCTCTAGCACAGCAAACCTAACTGGAACAAGCTCAGTGCAGGCCCAGGATCTTCTGGAAGAAATGTAATGGGCTCAGAAAGTCCTGTGATAGAACAGCACTGGATATGTGAAGGAGAGGAAAACAGTCTGGAGCCCCATTTGGGGGAAAGGGAACCAAAGCCAAAAATAACCTGTCACAGCCTCAAAGATAACTGCACAGAAGACCTGGATCTTAAAACTCCTCATGATTCTCATCCCAGTCATTCCACTTCTGGGATTCTGTTTTAGAAAATAATCTAAAAGTAATCAAGCGTAGGCACAATTATTCATCACCATATTATTTAGAACTGAAAACAGCCTGAATGTGGAAGTTAGTAAATTATAGTGCAACTTGATAAAAACTATGATGAAAATATTTATAAAGCATCTTAAAGAGAAGAAAATGCCTGTTGTGGTAATGCTGAGTGAAAAAAAAAAAGCATATATAAATTACAAATATATAACATATATAGAAAAAAGATTTAAAAAGTAAGTAAATATTTATATTCTGTATTTTCTGAAGTGTCCACTGAGGACATCTGTGATTTTACACTTAGCAAAAATACAGCAGTACATCTTAAGGAAAAAAGGAATGCTTAGTGCTTAGGGCTGGCTGAGGAGACACAAAAGAGTTAAATACATGCAAAAAGCAGGCCTGGACTCAGCTTCTCCAGCTGCCAGCAGCCCTGTTGATCCCACTAAGCCCTCCCACAGATGCAGGCACCCAAGCAGCATGAGCTCAGTCAATGCAGGAGAAATGAAAACAAGAGCCCAGCTCAGCAAACATTCCATCCTACCACTGCAAGCTCAGCAGGAACTGACCTGGTTGGCAAAGATGAGGGACATCCTGGTCCTGTCACTGGGGTCCTTGGTGATGTGGCGAATGAGCTGCAACATGGGTGTGATGCCTGGAACACAGTGAGCGAGCAGCCAGCTTTCTCCCTGTCTCTGAAGCCCACAGTCCCTGACCTGCAGCAAGCTTCATACCTTCCCCCAGCCCAAGTTATCCTTTTCTCACTTCTGTCCCCAAAACTCAAAGCAGGAAACAGCCCTTCATTTTGGTTTTCCTTTCTAATGCAACAGTAAGTCAGGTAGTCTTTCTCATTTTCATATGGCAAGATGGAAAGAACACTCTAAGTTCTTCAGTGTCCTCATTCATCAAACAATGACGGGTAAATGTGATCGTTTTAAGAATGCCTATTACAGTGCCTGGCACATTGTATGTCTCCTTCAAAGACTGCTCTCTTTCTTCAGGCAGTCATTTTCAAGGGATGGGGAGAGTCAGGCTTGAACTGGATCTAGGAGCCCCTGGGACAGCATGGGTGGGCCTGCCCAGCTTGCCCCCAAGCCTGACCTGAAAGGTCCCCACAAGGCTCCTGAGCAGCCACCATATTGGTTAGGGGAAGCAGGGTACACAGGGTCAGTTTCAAGACCTGTCACTGGTTCATCGTTCCCACCTTCTACAGCTGGAGGCGAAATCTCTCATGTTGTCCCTTAGAGGATCAAATGACTCCCAAGTCAGAATGGGTCTCGGGGCTCACTCTCTGGATGGAGCCCCTAGAAGCCTCTTACCTGTGCCCCCAGCAATCATTCCCAGGTGATCGGCCAGTGTTTTTTTAGGCTCACTCGTCTGGTCTGGTCTGATTCCAAGATTCCCTGGAAACACAGAGAATGCTTATGACCTCTGCAGTTCTTGCCTAAAGAGACTGCAAAAGATCACTGACATTCCTTAGGACTCCCAGGAGGCACGTCCAGCTAAGGGACTGTCTGCACCATTTTAAGCTGGAGAAGCAGGCCAGGGCAGTCTCCTCAGCTAGCCCTGGTGCTCCAGTGCACAAAGTGGGAATAGAGCCTGGGCTTGGTCGGGGAATCGCCGGGCCTTCTGTTCTGAGGAAAAAGAGGGGCAAGCTGAAGTTAACACAGAGACTCAAAGAGCATTCTCACTCACGGAGGTGAACCAGTGAGTAAACAATGGCTATGTGAGTAACCAAGGAGCATGGACTCCCTCCATCCATTTTTCAGTATTAGCAGGCACCATTTATGTATCAGGCATTGTGCTGGAGATTTTGATACAATGACGAGGAAACACCAAGTCATTCCCCTACCTTACAAAAGCTGACAACCTCATGAAGTGGGTGTGTGAATGTGTAACAAGTGTGATCATTATGCATTGTGTGTGAATGAATGAAGACTAAGGACAACCCCATGTGACTCAAATCTGAGGAGTGTACGAGAACAATGGAACCATTGCAGGAATCTTCCTCCCAGCTGGGAGCCCAAGTATTAACCCCTCCAGTACCTGGCCCATGGTAAAACAAGCGTCCCCTTGGCCCTCGAAAAAAGATGGTCTCCCCGATTTTCATGTTCTCCAAATACTGAGTCATCTTCCCACCTTCAGGATATTGGGGGTGTACATTTTTGAAGTAGATCTGAAAAGCAAGGCAGCACTGCTTTCACATTCCCAGACACAATGCCACAGCCACGTACAACTAGAAAATGCATTTACTGCTGGAAGCTTTGCAGAGAAAGTGTTCTCCTCTCTGAATTGTTGTACGCAATCCCTGAAGATGAAGCTGCCACAAGGTTAACTGTAGCTTCACTGCTGGAAAGCCCTGCCTAGGGCATATGTGCCCTCAGAGAAAAAGCACTGCCCCTCCACCCCACCACCCTCAGTAGGCTTGGAAGCACGAGCTAGCCAGATATGGTGGGCACTATTTACCTTTATAATTAGGTCCACAAAGCCTCTGTCATCATCACTGGAGACAGGGGTGTAAGCCCTGACCACCAATTCATTATCGATTTTTGCCAAGAGCTGGACATAGTTACCTATAGAAAAGGCATCAAGCACTGAGTCAAAGCATATTTAGCTTAAATAAGGCCCAGGAATAAAGGACTGAGCTTCAGTGAAGGGAGCAAATACTGGGGGCACAATGTTAAGAGGGGTGGGAAGAAGAGAGCAGGGAAGGAACCCAAATATGGGATGCCCGGATCCTAGGCCTGCCCTGCCTCCCTGTGCTACCCTAGGCAAGTCACTTCACCTCTCTGGGTTTTGGTCTCTTCATCTGTAAAATGGGGGTGATATGTCTGCCCACCTGTGATCTTAGTGTAACTGCTTTTTGGAGCAGGAAAAGATCATTAAAGTTGGAGAGTGAGTATTAAAAATTACAGAAAGGGGTCAGACATGGTAGCTCACGCCTGTAATCCCAGCCCAGAGGCGGGTGGATTGCTTGAGCTCAGGAGTTCGAGACCAGCCTGGGCAAGATGGCGAAACCCCATCTCTACAAAAAAATACAAAAAATTAGCCAGGTGTGGTGGTGCACACCCACAGTCTCAGCTACTTGGGAGGCTGAGGTGGGAGCATCACCTGAGCCCAGGAGGTCGAGGCTGCAGTGAGCTGAGACTGTGCCACTGCATTCCAGCCTGGACGACAGAATGAGACCCTGTCTCAAAAAAAAAAAAAAAATTAGAAAGGAATATTTGTCTATTCAAGAAAAATATGTGGCCTTCACAAACTCCTTTCTTCCTAAACTGGATGTATCACTGAGATCTGTGAATAAATTACAACTACTCCATCTGTATCCTGGTACTAGGCACAGAGCAGGCCTGGGCTCACAGATACTACAGGGCCCTAGGATTTGGGTACCCATGGAGCAAATGAAACAACAATATCATGTCTTCCTGGCCTATGGCCTTGTGAGGAGTAGCAGTGAAGTTTTTAACCATGTAACTCTGCCCTTCCTGGGTAGAATTCAATAAACCAGGTGTGGCCAGAGACCTATGGATCATGACTACATCCCACTGTCAGATGACACACTGGGCAGCTACGACCTGTTGGATCCAAAATGTGAGACTCAAATTACTAAGGCAATTAGTGGCAGGGACAGGAGTGCAATCAAGAGATACTAAGAGCTAGAGGCAAGAGAAAGTTTTGTAACCCTAACCCTTGACTAACTTCCTGTATGTATGTAGTCAGTTTACTCCCTCAGTTTCTACTCGCTCAGAAACTGAGTGGACTACATACGGGAAATTAGTCGAGACAAGGAAGATGGAACAGAGAGATGGATAGAAACCAAGACCTAAGGTGCAGGGAGGAGGAGGAGGCAGGAGGAGAAAAAAGCAGGCAGAGTAGGCACTAGAGGGGCTGGTCCCTGAAGCTGATTCAAGGGGATGAGCCAAGTCTTTGAGGTGCCAACACTCTGGGCTCAGAACAGGCTCAATGACTCTGGTCATGGTCCCTCTGGGCACCAGGGATAGCCAGGAGTAAGTGAGACACCTAGCTTCCTTCTGAGAACCTGAAACTGGAAACCTGGAAAGGCTCTTTCATATGCAGCCACCTAGGCCTGGCCTGAGGGTGTCCCCAGGGCAAATGGGGCTCCCTGGCTGGTCCTTCAAGCCCCATCTCTAACTTGCTTCACTTCCACTGGGCTGGGACGAAGCAGCGAACTCTGAGGCCTCATATTAGACTCTCCCAGAGGCCTCTACATTACCTTGTCCCACTAACTTTGCACGGCCTAGGCCAAGGCTGAGGAGATAGTGGGTCAAGGCAGTTTCTAAGCAATTCTCTATCTCAAAGTTTTTCATTCTTTTAGGCTTCCTGCCAACAGGACCTGCCTGACAGGCCGAGCAGGGAGCTGAGAGACGGCACGCACAACACTGAGCTCTCGTGCATAGAGATGGAGTGAGGGAACAGCAAGGAGGCTCAGGGGCCCAGCGAGCTGGCTAGAGTGTAATCTCACCACCTGATAGAGCTGAGGTCAAGGTTTTGGCCTGTGCATATAAGACAAATAGGCCACGGAGTAGGATCCACCAGGCAGGCAAGCAGCACTAGCAGATTATACAAAGCTGCTCTGAATCCCTGATTCTAGCAGTTTTCTACTGCACTAAGACTGACTCAGCTATCTAGTGGTGTTACAGATTAGAAATGGGATAACTCAACTCTAGGACTCCTAGGGCTGGAATCTGCAACTCGTAGGGCTGGTCCCTCCTTATGTGGGTCTGAGGCCCCTGCAGAGAATCTAAGTGACCTTGGGGGCAGGGCACACCTGACTCATTCCTGCCTACCCGCACATTCTGGGCCTTTCCCCGACCACTGGTTCCTCCCATCCCTCCCAGGTGCACAATACTTTGTAGTTTCTGAATTTTCATATCCATCAGTCACTCTACTTTCACAACAACCCAAGTGAGGTAGACAGGCAGGCCTGGGAAATCCCATTTCATAGACTGAGGCTCAGAGAGATTGAAGGACTTCCCTTAAGTTCCCCAGCAAGGAGCCTTCCATGAGATTTTAGGCCTTTTGGCTCTAGGTTCAGTTCTTTTCAATGCTCACTGAGGTACCACTCTCGTGTCAGCCCAATTGGAATAATGAAGAAAAGAAATTTTCTGTCCCACATCCATCCCCCTATCTATCTCCCTGAGCTCACAGGCTCAGGAGGAGCAAGAGGGCATCTTCCACACCTCAGGACGTGGGAAACCTGTGTTTCTGTTAAGAGAGGAGGGCCTAGCCCCCAGAGGCCCCAGTCCTGGTGATGACCCAAGCCCGGCTCACCTACAGGAAGCCCTAAGACATGGTCCGGCGAAGGCAGTCCAAAGCGGAACCTCCGGGTGTTGTGGCTGATTTTCTGATAAAACAAAACATAGGCAGGTTCTGTCAGCTTTCTAGAAGCCTTGCTGGGCAGCTGAGATGCCTGGGAAAGGAGGTCCGTTTGGCGCTATTCCAGCACACACACACACACACACAGGGCGGCGGGGAGTGAACTGGAGGCCATGAGATGACTGTCTGGATGCCCTGCCATCCCAGCCATCATCCACTTACTGCCTTCCACCCACAGGGCTGACCCATTACCTCTTTCTCAATCAAGGGCAGCGGGTACTTGGCTTCAGGGTCCTGTAAGGTGATTGGCTCTCTCCTCCTGGAGTTCATGCTCTTCAGGACCAACACGAGCACAGTGACCCCAGTGACGGTGATGGTCAGGAGCAGGGACGGGTCCTGGCAGACACAATGTGAACAGAGCACCTCAGGTCTTGCCCGCCCTGGACAGGGCAGCTCTCAGGCGCAGAACACCCTCCCCACACCAAAGGCACAGGAGCTGAGCTCTGCCTGCAGGAAATAGGCAAAGAGAACAGTAGTGACACAGAAGGCGGCTGGGAGAGCCTGTCGTGGACCAGAGGGTAGGGAGGGGTCAGCTGCAGGTCACACAGGAAGGATGTTTCAGGCCCCTGGAGCAGGCAGCACACATGGCCTGGGGTGCTCAGGTCACTAGGCCCCTCCTGGCTACAGCCAAAGGTTCATACACTGGAAGTCCCTTCCTTGAGGTGAAGGGGGAGGACATCACCCCTAACACACAATCCGGAATGAGGGGCCCAGTCCCTAAAGACAGAACTAGGGTGCGTAGCTCTAAGAGGTGCCCCGTGACTTAGGGCCTGGGGACTCCCCAACAGTCTCCTGGACAGGGCGAAGGGGGCCTGGGCACTCAACTGCCAGAGACTCGGGAGCCTCCCCGCATCTGTCCCTACCCTACAAGGCCGCCCTGCTCCTCTCCCAACTCAAGCCCGACAGGGAAAGTTGCCTCTCCTCCCGCCGGGTCACTGGAGTCTCAGCCTTCCGGAATCCGAGCCGGCCCGCCCCACTCCCCGCCCTTCGCGGTCCCGCCCACGACCTCTCCCCACGCCTCCCGCTCCGGCCCCCAACCTCCCGGTCGGACGTTCGTTCCCGGCTCTAGCCGGCCTCCGCGCCTCTGGCCTCTTTCCTTCCGGCCGTCCCGACGGAGATATTTCTTCAATACTCCATAAATACACCCCGCCGCGGAACCCACCCGGAGTGAGACGCCCAACACGTCGTCGAACTGGGGTTGGCCGGGGGCCGCTCCCCGCCGCGGGCCCGCAGACTCGTGGCGTCGCCCCGCAGCTCCGCCTGGCCGACGGGGAACCGGCCGAGACCCGGACACGCACGCCCGGGAGGACAAAAGCGCGGGCGGACCCCGCAGGCTGGGACCCCGGCGGCTGGCCCGCTCCCCGAGAAGGGCCGTGGTCGGGGGGCTCTCACTCACGAGCCGCTGGCTCTGGGTCAGCCCTGCCCCCAGGGCAGCGCTCCATCATGAGGCTGGCGGGGCGCTGAGCCGTGGCGTCCTCGCTCCTGCGCTGCCCCTCTGCATCCTGGCCCCTTCCCTGCACACGCAGAGCTGCCACACTGAGCGCCCCTCAGCTTACTTAAGCTCGGCAAGGCTGGAGAAGGCCGTCTGGGTGACCGGGCGGAGGGGGATGCTGGGGAAGGAAGAATTCAGGCAGCTGCAAAGAGCGCGCGAATATATTCATTCGACATACCTCATGGGCGCCTACCCTGGGCCTGGTCCGGGGCGGGTGTTTGCGGGGTGGGGCCGAAGCAGGGGCGTCGCCGAGTTGAAGACGTGTACTCCGAGCGCTCCTGCGTTCATTCATTCGCTGGGTGGAGAGAGGAAGGACAAGAGCCCCGCGCCGATCGGAGGGGAGCAGAATAGTAGGCACAGTTAGAGGGTCTTCACGGTGCGTTTCGGAACCTTGGCTGCCCGGCTCGCCCTTGATTACAGGCAAAGGCAAATTCTTGCCTCAGGACCTGTGTGAAACAGAGAAGCCCAGAAGCAGATCCCCACCTGTTTGACTCTGCTAGGGCTGCTGTAACAAAGTGCCGCAGACTGAGCGGCTTAAACAACAAAAATTTATTGTCTCGCAGGTCTGGGGGCTGGAAGTCCAAAATCAAGGTGTGGGCAGAGTGGGTTCCTTCTGAGGGCTGTGAGGGAAGGATCTGTTCCATGCCTCTCCTAGGTTTGTAGGAGAGGGGCTAGGAGAAGGGGCATCTTCTTCCTATGTCTCCACATTTTCATCCCTCTGTGTGTGTCCCTGTGTCCAAATTTCCCCTTTTATGAAGACACCAGTCATATTCAATTAGGGTCCATCCTAATGACCTTGTTTTAACTTGATTACCTATGTAAAGGCTCTACCTTCAAATAAGGTCATATCCTTAGGTACTGGGGCTTAGGGCTTCAACATAAGAATCAGGGTGAAAACAATAACCCATAACACTTTACCAACCCTTCTCCCCAAGACACACACCACCACAGGCTCAAAAATTCTTGCTGTGTGAATGAATAAACAAACTTAATTTTCTCTCTTTGACTTAATCAAATGCCTTTACTTTTGATTTACCTGCAGGTGCTTGGTTATTATAGGCAGATATTTTAATTTTTGACAATGCGATAAGTGTAAAATGATGTATCAGGAATCCAATTTGCATTACCTAATAACTGCTAATAAGTTTGAGCACCTTTCATATATTTATTTCCCATGGAGTTTCCTTTTCAGAAAAAAAAAAATGCCTGCTCATAAATTTTGCTCATTTTTCTGTTGTCTTTTTCTTACTGATTTTTAGGGGTTTTATATGTTTTAGATATCCCTTCTTTGCCAGTTACATGAATTAGTAATGTTTTCTCGTAATTTGTAACTTATTCTTTCTTTTTTCTTTCTTTCTTTTCTGTCCCACCTTTTTGTGGTGTAGTCTGATGAATAGAAATTTGAATTGCAGTATAACCAAATATACCAATCTTCAATTTTTTTGCCGTTATGGTTAGTGATTTTTGTGACTTGTCTATTTCTACCCAAGCCCTTAAAGATATTCTATATTTTCCCCAACAAGATTTAAAGATTTTCCTTTCACATTTAAGTTTTTCAACCACTTGGAATTGATTTCTGTGTAGGATGTGAGGCAGGGATACAATTTCATTTTTCCATGTGGCTAATGTGTGTTTTTCAGTAACATTTATTGAATTGCTCACATCTGGCCACTGACCTGCAACTGACCTGCTACCCCTGGCCTATATCAGTTTTCATAGGTGTGTGAGTCTAGCTCCGGCCTCCCATTTCTCTTACATTATCTAGCTGCCCAACCTTGTCGCAATACTACACTGTTTTAGTTACGGTAGTTTACAACAAGTGTTTATGTCTTTCATTCTTATACATTCTTTAGATCTCAGGTCAGATATCACTCCCTTGGAGATGCCTGCTGTGATCCCCCAACTTAAGTACATGTACATATTATAATCTGTTAAGTTTAACTTAAAGCTGCCTCCTTAATGTTTTAGTTTCACCCTAAAAGTTTCTTCGTACATAGTGAACTGTAACCTACTCTTGTATCAATCATGGAAGTTTCAGCCCATTATAGGCAGCCAACTGTTCAGACTGTGTTCAGGTAAGGCAAATCATGAGCTGTAACCAATCCCGCTGTTTCTGTACCTCACTTATGTTTTCTGTACATCACTTTCCTGTTTCTGTCCATAAGTATTATGCAACCACGTGGCAGCCCCAGAGTTGCTCTGAACCTATTCTGGTTCTTAGGGTTGCCTGATTCATAACTTGATTTTTGCTCAATTAAACTCTGTTAAATTTAGTTTTTCTTTTCGTTTAACTATTCTATTCATAGCTTTTTTTTTCTTTTTTCAGAGACAGTCTCACTCTGTTGCCCAGGCTGGAGTACAATGGCACGATCATAGATCACTACAACCTTGAACTCCCCGGCTCAAGCTAGCCTCCAGCCTCAGCCTCTGAGTAGCAAGGACTGTTGCCATCATGCCTGGGTAATTTTTGTATTTTTTGTAGAGATAAGGGTCTCACTTTGTTGCCCAGGGTGGAGAGCAATGGCTATTCAGAAGTATGATCATTGCACAGTACAGCCTGGAACTCCTAGCCTCAAGGGATCTTTCCTCCTTGGCCTCCCAAAGTCCTGAGATTTTAGGTGTGAGCTACCACACACGGCCCTATTCATAGCTTTTACTTTCGTTTGTAATTGTGCATTTGAACAGTGCGTTATTGAATGACTGACTTTCACACTAGTCTGGAAGTTCCTTTATGGCAGACACCTTGTTTTCCTAGGGTTTAGCACACTGACTGTCACAAAGAAAGCATGCAATAAATATTTAATGAACAAATGAATGAATTCATCTCTGCCTTATGTGTGCATTTAGCACACATGATAGACACTCCATAAATACTTCTTCACCTAGGAGAGGAATAATCCTTTCCATCGCACTCTGTCCCCCTTCCTTGCTTAATTTGTCTCCATAAGACATAGCACCAGATGATATATTTTTTTACCTATACAACATATTTTACTTATTTGTTACATAGAATGTAAGTGTATTAATCCATTCTCATGCTGCTATAAGGACATACCCGAGACTGGCTAATTTACAGAGGAAAAAGATTTAATTGACTCACAGTTCAGCTTGGCTGGGGAGGCCTCAGGAAACTTATAAAATCATGGCGAAAGGGGAAGTGAACACATCCTTCTTCACATGGCAGCAGGAAAGAGAAGTGCTGAGCAAAAGGGGAAAAGCCCCTTATAAAACCATCAGATCTTGTAAGAGCTCACTCACTATCACAACAGCCTGAGGGGAATTGCCCTCATGATTCATGATTCAACCACCTCCCACTGGGTCCCTCCCACAATATATGGAGATTATGGGAACTACAATTCAAGTTGAAATTCGGATGAGGACACAGCCAAACCGTATCGTAAGCTTCATGAGGATAGGAGTTACTTTGTCTGTTTTAACTACTGCTATATCCCTAGAACAGTGTCTGGCAATTGGTAGATGCTCAATAAATACTTATTGCATGTATGTATGAATGAATGAACAAACATTGTTTTCCCCCTTGGACTCTGTCAAAAGCTTTTACTTGTAGCTTTGAAATCCGGAGGCACCTCACCTTTTCCTGTGGTTTTCTTAGTAGTTTGTTTCTACCCTTCATTCTTCCCTCTCATTTTCTCTGCCTGTTCCCTCTGTGTTATTAGAGAGGCAGATAGCAAGCACATTCTCTTTATTCATTCTTGGAGCAGGATAAAAGGCATTTTTCTGGGCTCCCAGTAATCTTGAAAGGGCAGTGATTCGCCTCTCTTCTCCTAACTCGTAAACACTGTAAATGTGTCCCTCACATGCTCATGTGCTGCCTGGATTTTGGCTCATTTTCTACTAATCCCCTGAAATAAACCATGAGCACAAGTCTCATGTCTGTAAATCCCCAGCTTGATAATAGGGCCTGGCAAGGGTAGGCTCTCAACAAGCGTTTGCTGAGGAAAAAAAAACAAAACAAGATGAACCTCTGTTGTCACTGTTTGAACATCTGTGAGACTCCACCCCACAAGATTCAGCTCTTCCTGTGCAGGAACGAGGCCTCCTTCATTGCTGAGTACCTCTGGAGGGAACTGATGTCCTGCCCAAGTCATTGGTCAATGAGTGTTTGCCATATGGAAAAATGCTCCACATCACTAATCATCAGAGGAATGCAAATAAAAACCACAATGAGATACCGTCTTGCACCAATCAGAATGGCTATTATTAAAAAGTCAAAAAATAACAGATGTTGGTGAGGCTGTGGATAAAAGAGAACGCTTATACTCTGTTGGTGGGAATGTAAATTAGCTCAGCCACTGTGGAGAGCAGTTTGGAGATTTCTCAAAGAACTGAAAACAGAACTACAATTTGACCCAGCAATCCCATTACTGGATATATCCCCAAAGGCAAATAAATCACTCTACCAAAAAAACACATGCACTTACATGTTCATCAAAGCACTGTTCGGAATAGCAAAGACATGGAATCCACTTAGGTGCCCATCAGTGGTGGAATGGAAAAAGAAAATGTGGTACAGATACACCATGGAATACTACATAGCCATAAGAAACCAAAATCATATTCTTTGCAGCAATGTGGGTGCAGCTGGAGGCCATTATCCTAAGTGAATTAACACAGAAACAGAAAACTTAATGCCGCATGTTCTCACTTATAAGTGGGAGCTAAGCATTGAGCACACATGGACATAAAGATGGGAGCAGTAGCCACTGGGGACTGCTAGAAGGGAGAGGAAGGGAAGGAGGCATGGACTGAAAAACTACTTATTGGCTAATATTCTCATTACCTGGGTCACGCGATCATTTGTACTCCAAACCTCAGCATCGTGCAGTAATATGCATGGAACAAACCTGTGCATGCACCCTCTGGATCTAAAATAAAAGGCAAACATTTTTTTTAAATGAATGTTTGCTCTCAAAACAGTTTCCAGGCAGCTGTGAACTTTTCATTAAGTGTTTAATCTTGAAAATAATTTATTTCCATTTTATCCTCTATATAAATGACCATTTCTTAGGTCCTAGCTGTTAAGCCTAAATTGGGGTAGACTGAATAATGGCACCCCAGATATGCCCACAACCTATGAATGCTACCTTTTATGACAAAAGGGACTTTGTAGCTGTGCATGATATTGTGAAATATATATTTGGTCTTCCTCCCAGTTTCCTGGCATACAACAACTAAAATCCTTGGAATCTCCCAAGTGATATGGATCTTTTTGTATGATAATGAGTTGACTGATTGTTGGGGGCTCCTGAATAGCCTCCTGATGGGTGCTGGTTGCCAAGGAAACCAACCCCATGTTTAGAGGGTGATATGGTTTAGGTCTGTATCCCCACCCAAATTTCATCTTGAATTATAATCCCCATGTGTAGAGGGAAACAGGGAGGTTGGTGATTGGATTGGGGGGCAGTTTCCCCATGCTGTTCTCATAATAGTGAGTGAGTTCTCACCAGATCTGATGGTTTCATAGGTGTTTGGAAGTTCCTCCCTCATTCTCTCTCTCCTGGTGCCTTATGAAGAAGGTGCTTGCTTCCCCTTCACCCTCTGACATGATTGTAAGTTTCCTGAGGCCTCCCCAGACATGCAAAACTGTGAGTCAATTAAACCTCTTTCCTTTATAAATTATCCAGTCAGTCTCAGGGATGTTCTTTGTAGCAGTATGAAAATAGACTAATACAGAAAGTTGGATGGAACCTTCAGCATCCCACTCTCCAACCTCCAGGGAGGGGAAAGGGACTGAAAGATGAATTGCCCACCAATGGTCAATAATTTAATCAATTATGCCTCATAACAAAGCTTCCATAAATACCTCAAAGGGCTGAGTTCAGGGAGCTTCTGGATAGCTGAACACGTGGAGGTCCCTAGGGCACAGTGTGCCGGGAGAAGGCATGGGAGCTCCGTGACCCTTCCCATATGCCTTGCTCTGTGAATCTCTTCCATCTGGCTGTTCGACTGTGTTCTTCGGAATATGCTTTATTAGAAAATGATCAACATAACTAACATGATTCCCTGAATTATATGAGCAACTCCAGCAAATTAATCTAATCTGAGGAGGGAGTCATGGGAACCCCACTTCATAGCCAATCAGTCAGAAATTCTGGAAGCCCAGCCTTGAGACTGGCATCCGAGGTGGGTGGCAGTCTTAGGGACTGAGCCCTCAATGTGTGGTCTCTTAGGCTACTTCCAGTAGACAATGTCAGAAATGAATTGAATTAGAGGACAGTCAGCCAGTGTCTACTGGAGAATTGCTCACCTGGTGCGTGGGGAAAAATTTCCACAAATCTAGGGTCACAGAAGTGTTGATCATTGAGGGAAAGAACAGGACAAACACTTTTTTTTTTCTGACTCTCAAACTGCAATTAATTTAAAGATCTTGAGACAGAGAGGCTCTCCTCAATTATCCGGGTGGGCCTGATGTGATCACAAGGGTCTTTATAAGAGAGTCACAGTAGAAGAGAGTCAGAAGAGAAGGCAGTGCCATAACAGAAGCAGCGACTGATTGGCAGAATGAACTTTGAAGATGGGGGGAGGGGCCACCTGCCAAGGGATACAGGCAACCACTAGAGGCTAAAAGGCAAAGAAATGGATTTTCCCCTCAGAGCCTCCAGAAAGAATCAGCCCTGTTGACACATTGACTTTAGCCCTGTGAAACTATTTCATACTTCTTGCTTCCAGAACTGTAATAGAATAGATGTGTGTTGTTTTAAGCCACTAAATTTGTAGTAATTTGTTACAGCAGCAATAGGAAACTAATACAATAAATGAATGATTGTTTTTGTCTCAGAGGGCTTATTTATTTATACTTGAATTTACTCTATTAAAAAATTTCCTAGGGCTTGGCTCAGAAGTCCCCCAAGGGAGGAGCCCCCTGTTCTGATGTTCTCATTGCTTTGATTGTGGGCCTCTTTTCCAATGTGCCCCCTGCTACCCAGTCACATCTTCAGCTCATTGTCTCTGCCAGAGCTTGTAAGCAGACCACCCACTCCATCTCTTCCTCTTCACCCTGGCGCTGGCCCATCCTTTGTGCATTTTGCTAAAATGTCATCCTGAACAAAGAGGCTCGGAGGACTAGTACAGTTGACTGGGCTGAGCTTCATTAGGGACCACTGATGGAGCACCCAGCCCACTCAGACACTCAATGCTGACCAATGCAGAATATTTCTTAAATCAGTTTCATTAGCTTCCCTTTTCAAGGATTTTAGACTAAAATATGTTAATGCTACCTGTTCAGAATTCTCTAAGAAGCACTATAGACAGGTATAAAGCAATGGCAATATTTTGCTTTCTGGAATATCTTCAACCATTACTTATGCAACATAAATGTGCCCATGGAAAACCTTGTGCACTCCTGGCAACGTGGGGCTAACATGGGCATGATAGACTGTATAAAGGCAAGAGTCTTGAGACACCTGGAGTGGTCAGAATTTGCTAGAAATAGTGTGGTTGGGAAGAGTCAACAGAACCGCTTGCAGGGTCCTATTCCTGTAGAACCTTCCACACCCAGCTATGTGTACAGAGCTGTGTTAATGATACTAGTCAATTACTTCACCAATATTTACAGCAGTTGCTTCAACTCTTTATAAACGGCATCTGTTGTGGTAGGGGCTGGGTTAGAGCCTCCAGAAGGAATTGCTTGTGAGTTCACAGCTTGGGCTGTGGAGACAACCAGGAGTAAGTGAGGCAGTTTCCAGTGGAGAATTCCACCTGCATGGACAAGCCTGGGGATGGGCGCTTCAGATTTGTAATAGGAGAAAAGCTGGCTTCCAGGACGGGGAGAAGGGGGAAATGTCCAAAAAAAAAAAAAAAAAAAGAAAAATGAAGGGACGCATTCCAGACTCCTACTTAAACATGACCAGGACTTTGGTTTTTCACAAATTTGCCCCAGCCTCTGCTTCCTTTTCTTTTATGGGGGCAAAAACAGGAGCTTTTCAGAGAAGAGTTTTGTTTGTGATGACAATTTCTGTTTTAAAAAGCAAAACAAGTGAAAATAGAGCAAATTGGGCTAAAGTCTCCATTCTGAGCGTTATTCTAAAACCTTCATTTTCATAGAGCTATATAGTTTATAAAGCATTACAATGAAACATCATTCTGAAATTGTTATAATCTTTTTACAAACAATTTAGTTTGGAGAAGAAAAAATCTCGGAAAGATTCTCTGCCTTCTCCAACATCACATCGCTGGACAGTAGCAAAGCTGGGACATAAGCCCATGTTCCTAAATCCAGCCTAGTGTTCTTCCCCTACACCACAGCAACCTGTGGGCCAGCAAATGCATAAATAACACTTTTGTTTTAATGCCATGCAAATTTAAATTTCTGATTTCAAATTGAAAGAAGCTCCCCATTTTCAGCTGGTAAAGCTGAGGCCTGGAGATGTTAAGTGATGCTTTTGGAGGAAGGGCTATGACTGGGTCATTGGTATTGAGCTGTCAGCTTTGCACAGCCTGCAGTTTGATTAAGAGCCAGTGGAAGAAAATTGAGAAAGTATAGAGATGTAGAAAACATACATTTTTCCTCTGCATTTCCTCCAGTTACTGTTCCCACCTGACTAAATGCTCCTTTTGTGTCCTAGCTCTCTTTTCCTCTCCAATGCTCAAGAACATTGCCCCAGCAGTTTTCTCTTTGCTCCTTATGATCAGTTCCTTCTCTCCATTTGATAATTCCTATTAATAGACATATGTGCTGTAATTTCTGCCATGTTTTAAATGACAAAATACCTTCTCTTGACTTCCTTATCCCCATCTAGGTGCTAACACCCTTCCACATTCCTAGTTACGACAAGATTCCTTGAAAGAATTGTCTACACTTGCAATCTCTATTTTTTCCCATCACATTCTGTCTAAAGTCTACTCCAAAAAGCTTTTACTCTCACCACTCCTTTGAAACCACCATGTTGCAATCACCAATATCCTCACATTGCTAAATTTAATGTAATGGTCAATTCTCAGTCAATGCTCCTCATTTCCAACCCCTGGAAATGTTGGAGTGCCCCAGGGCTCAAATCACAGACACCTCCTTTGGTGATTTTGTCCTGCATCCTGGGTTCATATATCAACAATATGCTGATAGTTTTGAAGTTTTCATATCCAGGCTGGGTCAGTCCTCTGAACTCCACATTCATATATCCAACTGCCCACTTGACATATCCTTTTAAATGAATAGGCAAATCAAACTTGGCATGATCAAATACTAACTCCTGGTATCTACCGCTCCCCGCCCCGACCCCAAATTCTGATACCTTGGTCTATATCTTACTTCCAGTTGATCAGGCCAAAAGCCCCATGGTCACCTTTGACATCTCTCTTTCACACCTCATATCCAATATATCAGGGGATCCTGTTGGTTTTTTCTTGAAAATACGTCCAGAATCTGACTTACCACTTCCACTGCTAGCATTCAGATCTTAATATCTTACCTTGATTATTGCAATAGTCTCCTAACTGATCTCTCTGCTTCCTCCCTTTCCCTCTCCTGCAGTCTAATTTCAATACAATAGAAAGAGTGATCTTGTTACAATGATTTCAGGTCCTGTTACTCCATTTGATGTCATCCCATTCCACTTAGAGTAAAAGCCAATGTTTTTACCTTAGCCCATAACATCCTACACAAGCTGTCCTCCCACCTACCTTCTCTGATATCCCCATGCTCATGACTCTCCAGACATAACTGACCTCCTGGCTGGCTTTCGTATATATCAGGCATGCTCTTACCTCAGGTCTTTCGTACTTGCCTTTCATTCCTTGTGCCTGGAATTCTCTAACCCTTATTATCTGCATAGCCTTTGCCTTCAACTCCTTCAGGCCTTTTCTCAGATGTCTCTTTATCAGCTCTTCTCTGACCATACTTTTTTTTACAATTGCAATACCCTGCTCACCAGCATTCACTATCCCCTATTCCTGCTTTATTTTTCTCAGTATCATTTATTGCCATCTGGCATTTTATATATATATATGTATATAAAATATTAAAATATATATTATATATATTACTTCTTTGCTTATTATCTGCTTCCCCATCCCCACTAGACTGTTGTCTATTTTTCTTACTGCAGAATCCTTTGTCAGCAGACCTGTTCTATACCTGGATACCTGGATGAGATGTCCTTGAGGATAATGCCTGACCTTTCTTGACCATCAAAAAAGTTTGTCAGCAGAAGTTAGAAGTGGAGGTATGGATCTCATGCCACATATATTCCATTCACTGGAAAGCAATAGCCTTTCTCACACATTCACACACCAGACTTTGTGTTTGCATAGCCTCTTGTTGAGTCGGGAACTCATTTCTTGTGAGCCTCGTCCCTGTGAGCATCTTGACACAGTTGAGTTTCTGGGCCAACAGAGCTGAGGACCTGGACCCTGAAAAGCACCTTGGGACTCTCTGCCTGGGATGCCAGCTGCCTGCCCTCAAACCTATATATATATATATATACACACACATACATACATATGTGTGTGTGTGTGTGTGTGTGTGTGTGTGTGTGTGTATTACGGTTCTTAAATCCAGCTTCAGTAAGCTATATTAGAGCACATTTTTTTCGTTTTGTTCCTAGAATCTTAAGTGTAACTACAAATTAGCCCCAACAAATGAGGTGTATGGTCTATATATAAGATATAGTTAATTCTCTTGTGTGATAGGCAGTCTCAGTTTTAGTCTAAGCAGATTTCAGACATATCCAGTGATGTATGAACTGGTGGGATGGAATCAGCGAAAGTCTATTTGCCTAGTGCTGAGGAGCTTCCTGAGGAGGAACTTAGGTTGAGGGAACAGTAATCCAGGCACAGAGAGTCTGGGAAGACAATGAAATCTTAGCATCTTAAGGGGGAAATTCTGAGAACATCGTGGTGTCTGTCTCTTGCATTTGTCTCTCTCTCTTGAGCCTGCCAGACTTATCTTAAGGAAAGCAAGAGTGAGGTCCTTAAGTCAAAACTGAAAAAATAGTTTCATTAAAGTCTGCTTTAAACACTGGGACTCAAGAAATTCTCATGGAGGGTAACACAAAGCAGAGAGGCATTCTTTCTCACTTGACCAAGAAACATGAGAGTCTTGACACCCCTGGGTTTCCAGTGACTTGGTGGAGGAGCTGGTAGGAGAGTGGGGGCACACAGAGAAGTCGAGTGGCAGGGTCCCCCAGGAGGGCTGGAGGCTGAGCAGGGACATGCTGCTCCTGGTAGGCACAGAATGGGAGGGAGAAAAACCACACCGCCTATGGGAGCAGACTTGTACCGAACTACGTGAGATAACCCATGAGGGCTACAGGACATTGGAAGGGCATTTTGCAAGAGCTGAGACCCTTCATGACAGGTGGGCACATGAATAAGTGGAACTTGGGTGTTATTAAGGCAATTCTATTTCTACCCACCTGCTGAGGAGGCCCCAGGAAACTCAGGATACCTTCCACACCTAGGAAAAGTGTTTACCTTGCATAATGAGTTTCTTAAATATTAACAGATACATCCACCAAACATATTTTTAGAAAATTTTCCTTAGGTTGTCTTCCAGACCCAATCCTTCTCTCTCCAGGCAGCTTTCTCAGATAACTCTAATTTGATGTTTCCACTTGCTCTTGAATAGCTCCCACCCGGTCGGTGTCCAGCCACAGCTCCTGCCCTTGCCCATACTCTATGTTACACTATTCCCTAATTATTGCAGGATATCTTTATCTTGTGTCTTCAATGAAGCTGGGATGCCCTTGAAGGCAAGGGCACATCTCTACCTTCTCTTGTACCTATCTAGCTCAGCTAGGCATGTCACAGGTGTTCAGTAATTACTTGTTGATTACTTCTTTACTTTCCAGAACTGTTTTTCAGATTATACTCAGTGTGGATGAAGAAGGAAAACCCCAGGTATCTTGCTGGATTCTAGTGTTTTAGGAGCGGAAAACAGATCCAAAGGCCAGGTTGTCATTGAAAAAAAAAATTCTCTGGCTTGAACTGAATTTGAAATCTACCTGCTAACAGGATTTTTCAGATAGAGCTCAACTGTGGATCCTCTTTGTGTGGCTGAATCAGTCTTATATTCAGATTTATCATTTGTATATTGGAGATACTTACACCGAATATACCCACCTGAGAGGTAGCACAGCACTGTGCCGAACTCTGGTAGAAGGTTGCTGAGGTATGAAGTCCTGCTCCACCAGTTTACAAATGATCTGGCTGGGGACTATTACTGAACATTTCCAGGTCTTGGTTTCTCCATCTTTAAAATGGGTATGATGATGACGATGATTCTTACCTCTTAGGGTCATAAGATGATTTTATGAGTTAATTCATATGCAACGTTTAGAATGAAGCCCAGCATATAATGGATTGTACATTAATGCTATTATCAATCTTACATAAGTTTTGATTTAAAAATGAGTGTAGAGTACCCATAACAGTAATTATCGCTTAATGTATGTTAGCTGCCATTCTCTCATGATGAACAAGCAAGTACTACCTATTTTAAATTATTAAAAACGACAGACATTTGTTGTTAAATACACATTTTTAAAATTATTAAAAACAACAGAGAAAAAGAAGCACTCATTCTCATTCTCACAAATTAATTTGTCTATACTGAGCCTGATCCCAATCTATAAAGAATCTGCAGGAAGAAAGGAAATCAAAATCCTGAAACTAAGAAAGGAGAGCCCTTTCCCTTACTTCGTATCAGAGAGTAGAACATTTCTGAAAATTCACAGAAAGCTTTTTTTAGAACAGACCATTCAATTCTGAAAAGAAAGTTCTTAAAATTGTCTATAGTGTATCCCTGAGCATCCTGAAGATTTTAAATAAGTTGTCACAGCAGCTTCACCCAGAGGCTGTTTCATCAAACCACAAAGTGACACTCCCAGCCCCCAAGTGTCCTGTGGAGAGCAGAAAGATGGCAGCTGGAGAGCTCACCCAGCAGGAATCGTTGCCCGCATCTGCTGCACTCCTTAGAATTCCTGGAGAGAAACATACCATACTCCTGGCATGCTTCTGATGCAAAGGTGGGGATTCTAAGCTGCTATAGTTTTTTGGACTTCTTTCTACCTTAAAGGCAAGGAATCTCTGTTGTTAAGTTCATAAAGATCCACCCCCGGACCCCAACCCCGCAAAAAAAAAGAATATATTTTCAGGGGATATATTTCAGGGCATGTTATTCATACAGATGAAAAGAAAGGTGATTCCACCATGTAGCTTAAAAGGTATGTGATATTTCTGCGCAAATTGTCAAAAAAATATGATGTTACCCAAAACATTATTTATAAGAAGTGATGGCTGTGGAAATAATAATAATAATAATAATAATAATAATAATAAAGCCTAAGACATAATTTTGAGAAAATTGAAGGCTAAGGCTGAGAAATAAATTCTTACTGGGATTATGCTAGTGTATCGGAACTGCTTCTATGACTCTATGACTCCTGAAGCCTGAGAGCTTCAGGCAACAGAGGCCAGAGGCTCAGAACAACACTTGGGGACCTTTCTTTATGAAAGTGAAATCTACCTCCAGGGAGCCTCTTTCTCACCTCCCATTCACTCTCTATCTTTAGCAATCAGACTGTGGAATTCTGACTCACTGAGGTTACCTACAACATCCCAGTGGCCAAATCCAAAGGCCTCTTTTCCCATTGTTATGTTACTAGATTCTGTCCAGCATTTTTCATCATTGACACCTCTTTCCCCTGTCTTTGCTTGGGCTGATATAACAAATATACCATTGACTGGGTGATTTAAACAAGAAATTTATTTCACAAAGTTCTGGAGACTGCCAAGTCCAAGATCAGGGTATTGGCAGATCCAGTGTCTGGTGAGGGCCCCCTTCCTGGTTTGCAGATGTCTGTCTTCTTGTTTTATCCTCACAAAGGGGAGAGTAGAAAGAGAGGAAGCAAGCTCTTGTGCGTCTCTTCTTATAAAGGTACTAATCCCATCGATGAGGGCTCCACCCTCAGAACCTAATTATCTCCCCAAGGACCCACTCCAAATATCATCACAATGGAGATTAAGCTTCAACACATGAATTTGGTGGGAGCGCAAACATTCAGTCCACAGCAAAACCTAATCTCTCTCTCCACAGCTCCCATGTCTGTCCTGGTTCTCCTCCTCCCCTTATGCCTGGCTCCTTTCAGCCTTTTTCTTTGGTCTTCCCTTTTCTCTTTTTCCTCTAAAAATAGGCTTCTTTTGGGTTGCAACTCTCACCTTTATCTGCTACCTCCCAGACCACCCCATCCCAGGCTTGATTCTTAATTCCTGGACATCTGCAGCTGGATATCCCACAGGTAAATTGACAGGCACACATTAAATTCATCTTCAACCTCTCACACCCTCCTCAAATGTGCTACTGCTATGATATTCTCTTTTTTGGTCTTTGGAAATATTGTGCTTGGCAATGGCTTTGCTGAATGTACCCCCTGGTGGCCGAGAGAAGGAATCACTGCAGCCACACTTTACAAAAATTTTTCCACCCGGGGCTTCTTTGCATCATGAGGTCATTGTCAAAGAAGCCAGAACAAAGAGACCCCAACTGCTTTCATCCCTTCTTATGAAAATGAATTTTCATTCCCGACTCTCTCTATTATTCTGTGTCCTATGTGTCCGAAAATTTATAAAAATAAAAATAAAAAATAAAGGATTTGACTTTTCTCCTGATAAATCAAAATGGCAAAATGGCAAACTATAAAAGTTTCCCCACCTCATCTTCTGCCTGCTCTCCTCACCACTGTATTTTCCACATGGAACAAGATGTCACTTATATATGCCAATGGATGTCATGGACAAACAAGGAACAGGGAAAGCCCAGAACTTCTCAATGCTCATTGGCACTAGAACATAGTAGTATACTTGCTATTTTTCAGAGGTGGGATCTTGTGAATGAGACCACAATTTGGCACAGAAAGTAGTCATTGCCACTGAATTATTCACTCGAGATGAGAATTTATTCTGGTGACTGGAAATATTCCAGTGTTGCTTTGAGCAAAAGGAACAGTGACCACATCCCATGAAGCTCCATGTGATGGCTTTTTTGATATGTCAGCTTAGCTAGGTGACAATCCACAGTTATTAAATCAGACACTAATCTAATTGTTGCTGTAAAGAAATTTTGCAGCAGTAATTAAAATTCCTAATCATTTGACTCTAGGTAAAGAAGATCATCTTGAATAATCTGGGTGAACCTGACTTGATTAGTTTGAAGGCCCTTAAAAGCAGGGCTGAGGCTTCCCCAAAAGAGAGAAGAAATTCTGCCTGTGAGGAACAACTTCAGCCCATGCTGTGGATTCCGGTGTTTCTATGATTTTCCCTTTCTGAGCACCTGGCCTGTAGATTTACCTGCTTAGTCAGCCCCCACAATTGTGTAAGCCAATTCTGGTGTATCCGTTTGCTAGGGTTGCCATGACAAAGTACCACAAACTAGGTGGCTTAGAACAACAGAAATTTATTGTCTCATAGTTCTGGAGGCTAGAAGTCCAAGATCAACGTGTCAGCAGGGATGGCTCTGTCTGAGGGCTGTGACGAGGAGTCTGCCCCAAGCCTCTCCTCTAGCTTCTGGTGGTTTACTGACAGTCACTGGTGCCCCTTGGCCTGTAGATAATGTATTGCCCCAACCTCTGCCTTCATCATTACACGATATTCTCCCTGTGTGTGTATGTCTCTCTGCTTCCAATTTTCTCCTTTTAATAAGGACACTAGTCATACTGGATTAGGGCCCAGGCTAATAACCTCATTTTAACTGATTAACTCTGTAACAACCCTATCTCTAAATAAGGTCACATTCTGGGGTACTGGAGGTTAGGACTCTAGTATATTTTGGAGGAAGATGGAATTAAATCCATATCACCTGCTTCTCCGGTTGAACCCTGGATTATACTCTGTGTGTATCAATTGGTCCCCAAAACAGCTTACCAGAAACATTGGTTTCTCCATTTGGCACATCTCATGTCTCCAGAAACATTGATTCATCCTCTGATATGGAGATGTTTAAATCTGGGTATACTGGGTATAAGTATGATACAATTACTCAGTTTCCACAAAGACAGCCAGGGTTGGAGATTTATCAGAAAATGATTTATGAAGCTATTGTTAGAATTCTGGGGCACCTCAGCCAGCTAGACTCTATAGGTATTTCAAATGAGGAGTGGGGCATTTTAACTATAACCTGGCTTTGCCATCTGCAGCTGCTTAATACCTAAAAAGAATGAACAACTTGGAAAGCAGATAATTGGCTTTGTGGGGTTTGGAAAGAAGAATCATGGGTATGAGAATGTGTAAGGAAGCTGGTTAGGTAGTTCGAATGTCCAGGGCCTGGAACTGGTGAAGATATTTCATGTTTCTATGTCTCTGTTATGTACTGCACACTTGCTTGTGGCCAAGTGTATCTTATCTGATTTAATCCTCACTACATTCTTATTAGGGATGCATTGTTTTCCCTTAGTAGGGTTGAAAAAAATGAGTCTGAGGTGACTCTTAAGATTACACATCTAGTAATGATTGGCCATCAGGATTCAGACATACAGTCACTCGTTCTTTGTGAACTCCCTATACGTGAATTCACCTACTCACTAAAAATTATTTATAGCTCCAAAAGTGATACTCATGTTGTCCTCAGGATCATTCATAGGCATGTGAAGAGTGACAAAAAATACATGTTGTTAGACACACGTTTCCACACGAGGTAAAACAAGGCAATATTTTGCCTTCTTGCTTCAGCCGTCATCCTATAAACAAATGTCCTTTTCATGGTCTATTTAGTGGCACTTTTTTTTCATTTCTGTTCTTTTTATTGGTGACCTCAACCTTTAAAATGGCCCCAAGCATAGTGCTGAAGTGCCGTCTAGTGTTCCTAAGTGCAAAACTCTGTGGTGTGCCTCACATAGAAAACACACGTGTTAGATAAGCTTTGTTCAGACATGAGTCATAGTGCTGTTGGCCATGAATTTAATGGCCGTGAATTCATTGTAATGAACCAGCAATATATATTAAATAACATATCTTTAAACAGAAACACACATAAAACAAGTTTATGTACTGATCAGCTGATGAAAATGTACCTTGAAGGCACCTAACCTTGTACATTTCCTAGGAGGGATGGCTGAGTATTCTCTTATTCAGTGTCCATGGTGACTTGATAGGATGTAATTACTGCAGATAGTGAGAATCGACTGTCTCTGTGTTGGGCTCTAAAGACCTCTAATTCACATCACAAGGATTAGAACTGGGAACCAAAGAGTTGGTAACTCTATCTTCTTACCTGCTTTAGGAATGAAGGAGACTGTAGCCTGAAAGCCCCTGCAGGTCCCGTTTTCATCTGATTGGAAGCTGATGAGCATGATGCTGGAGGGGCTCAGCACAGGGGTGGGGACATCATAGCCACACAGCCGAGCTTGTTGAAGGCCAGCCCAGGCATGACATTGTCAAGCACCCAGCAGATAGCCATGGCATTGGAGAGAAGAAAAAAAGAAAATCATCCTTCAGGTAATTGTTGAGAAATACGCTTTTCACAATTCATTTTCTAAATAAAGGCAGCTCACTCCTTAATTAACCCCATGACATTTCAATTTGGTTTTCTCTCCTGAACACTCCCACACACAATGATGTTAAGGGAACTGGTTCTAGCCTCAGGACTTGTTTCAATGGAACTTTCCCTTTCTGACTCCTAGTTTCCTCATGGGCCTTTTGCATTTCTGTTTCAGTGGTTCTTTGATTCTCCCTTTTTCTCTTCCTGCCCCTAATGAAGAAGACAAAGGAGTGATGGTGAGACCACAGGGAGGGGTGGAGGTGGTGCAGGAAGATGGAGGAAGATTGATCTGTCTCCTTTTCGTTCCCATCTCAAGACTGGGTCCAAACACAAACCAGAGCGAGCTGAGGCTCAGAGGACACAAACCTATTTCCTTCTTCCTTTCTACATCGCTGTGCACTGTCACATAGTCGGAAGTGCAGTCTCCACTTTCTTCTATTTCCAGACTCTGAAATGAAAGCTGAGAAGACACGAAGTTACATCCAGAGTAAACAATCTGAATGAATTACCTGACTTTGATTCAGCAGAGAAATTTGGATTGCTCAACTTGTTCTGGAGTAAGACCTTAGATAAGAAAGTTAATGGGGTATTCAGGAGTGGGTCAGATTACCAAGGGAAGGATTCTATATCACAGGCTCTAACTTTTTGAAATAGCTACCAAATATGGCCTGAATCAAAGGGCAGGAAACTGTGCAAATATTTTAGCTTCCTAACATCTCTAAGAGATTAGGAGAGCTACCGCATGGGGATTTTTTTCCTTGGAAGCAACTAGGCACTCAACTCAACTAATTGCATATACACAAAACTGCTTCTCTGGACATCTTAGTGTTGTTCACCTGGTTCCTGATGTTTCATCTTGAACCTCTAGTTCTCCTGAATCAAGACTGAAATTTGTTGTGCCCCTTGGAGACCGTGTCTTTCTACCCAGCGGGATATAGCTGGCTCCTCTTCTCACCTGCTTTGTCCTGTTGCCACTATATTTCCATGCCTCACTGCAAAATTCTGAGAAGGCACAGATGTAAGTGAGTCTAATTGCTGATATAAAACAAAGTATCATCTGAGCTACTGAAAGCATTTGCATAAGTGGGCTCGGAGTCAAATGTAGTGAGCCTCATGAATGTGCATGAAAAAGGAAATCCTTGTATGAGTTAGAGAGAGCTGATTTTGGATACTAAGCTTAAATGTAAACCTCAGCAAAATTCTTGAGTAGATTATTAAGCTATGATGAGTAATGACCTAGAAAAGAAAGTTGATCACCTGGAATCAACCTAGGGTCACCAAGAATAAATCATGACAAACCTTTTCTCATAGTTTCTATAATTGTGATGCTTATTGGCAGCATAATATTTCATTTATCTCTATCCTTGAGACCTGTATTTTTTGCTATCTTAAAAACTTGGCAGTGAATATCTTTAGGCATTTACTTTTTTTCTTCTCTTGTATCATTCCCTGCATGGGGCACTTGTTTTGTTTCAGGAAAAGGGAGGGGAACTATCTAGATAGAAGGAACAGTGTGAAGGAGAAACAAAGAAACAATAAAGAGTGATCTTGGAGCAGTTTGGTGAGCACTAGCCAATTGAATTTGAAGTGAAGAGTGGTGGGAGAGAGGGCTGATGAAATAGGAACTCTAATTTTAACACACAGTTGATGGGGATTCAATGGGACCCAGACTCTGAGCAAGAAACAGAAAGGATTGTGTGGATAAAACAAAACTGGAGGCAAATAATTACTAATGGTAAAGGTAGGCGTGGGGAGGGGGACCTGTATCAGAAATAGGATTCATTCAAACATTTATTAAACCCTTACTGGGATACTTTCTGGGAAGGGGCCCTTTTCTCTCCAAGTCAAATGGTGAGCATATTCCTATGACTTTTAACACCAGTTTCCAAATTACTATCTTACACGAGTTCTGCAAAATGATGCTGTCACTGGCAGAGTATGAGAGCATCGCTTCACTGATGCACGACACTCAAACTTTACTTATTGAAGAGATATTTTTCAATCACTTCTGGCTCTGGCATTTTCAGATTTTCAACTAAATTTCCTCTTCTTCCTCCACCTGGAAACATGCTCACAACCTAAATTTTATCCTCCACCACTAACAAATTTTCCTTAATTCTGCTGAAATTTTTGCCCCAAATCTGTTTAGGTTTGATGAACTTTTAGAAAGAAATCTATACCAACTGCCTCTGTATCATCTTTTCCCACTCATTCATAAAACCTGTGTGATCTTGTTTCTGCCATTAACATCTGACTTCACGTGATATTTCAGATACCACCAATCCCAACTCCTCTCAATTGTTCAATTTCCCATCTAATTATTCTCCCTTTTTTATGGAGGTGTGGGGTGGGGACTGGACACCTCAGTTCTCATCTCTTTAAGTTCTAACTTAGTGTGGTATCCAAATGATTGGTCACATCTTTTTCTTTGGTTTTGTTTGTGTTTTAAGTTAAAGGCTGCATTCTCCAGGCTGTCATAAAAACACACCAATTTGGTTCTCCTCCCACATCTCAGAGTTCTTTCCATCTCTTAAGTGAGAACGCTGGTGTCTCATCATCCCTCACTCCTCTCCCCTTTATTTTCTGCTCTCTTTTCTCTCCATCGTACACTGTCTTGTTTTCAATTATTATTTTAAAAGAAAGATCTATGAGAAAATGCCTCATTCCAATCTCACCCTGACTGCAGTCCTACTTCTACCTCCCTGATGATATCTCTCTGCAGATGGTCCATTAGTGTTTAATGAACAAACAACTAACCACACACTGCTAATCAAATGTGGAATAAACTCCATTTCCAGGCGTTCAAAGGCCTCCATACAGTGACTTCCACCTTGCCTTCCACTGTCCACTCCAGGACACCTTAAGACCCTCTTAAACCAGCGATTCCCTGAGCCTGTTCTGCGCTGGTTCCTCTAGGCTTGCTCTGTCCTCTCTGCTTGAAAGGCTTGATGATTTTGGCCTGATTGACCTTGATTTTGTTATCTATAACTTACAATGTGTTTTGTGAGCAGTTTAATAAATAAGGAAGACATGCTTGTTTCTGGAATGGACTAAAAGTCACCAACACAAAGTTTTTGTTTTGTTTTGTTTTGTTTTGTGTTTTGAGAGTTTCGCTCTTGTAGCCCAGGCTGGAGTGCAGTGGCGCGATCTCGGCTCATTGCAACCTCCATCTCCCGGGTTCAAGCAATTCTCCAGCCTCCCGAGTAGCTGGGATTACAGGCGCCCGCCACCGCGCCCGGCTAATTCAATACAAAGATTAAAGCGGCACTTTTTTTTTTTTTTTTTTTTTTTAAAGTAAGGAGCACAGTGCCATCTAGTGGAAAAAATGTGTAGTTGCAGGGGAAACTGGGCGGATCCATTATTCAGCAAGTATTTATTGACAGCTTTGTGTGTCAGGTGCTGGGTTCTAGGTACTGAAAACACAGCAGTGAATAAATCAGATAAAACCTCTGACCTCATGGTGCTTATGTTAGCTATTCTGTGAATTTACCATAGCTACGTAAGGACAGCCAAAGTCAATACCTTAATTAGGTGATGTTTGGAGGCTTGAAAAATCCAGTCACAGTTAGCCTTGTCACTGTAGTTTTCAGGATAGTTTAGACTCTGTATGAGACCTTCTTCAAAAAGGACAGTTAAGTAACTGCAACCTGAATCTGAAACGTAAGAAAAAGTCCAAACAGATGGCACCATTCAAATAAAGAAGAATTCTCACTGCTCTCCCTCCTGTCTCCTGAAAATGATGCATATCAATTGCATTTTCAGACACTGCGAACAAGAAAAGACGTAGTGCATGATTCTCCAGAACTCATCAGGCCCTCTCGACTCACTTGGAGGGGCAATCACTACGAGCTAGCAGGGTGAACTCAGGGTTGAGGGGGAGACTGCCCCCTGTTCTCTAGTTGGCCTGTGCCCCTCTCCCATGTGGAGTCAGTTGGGCCTTGGGAGAGGGATCCCTGCCACTCACCTAATTCCTATGGGGCCTAAGCTTCTACAGAAGGTGGAGATAGTATGTGATTAAAAGTAAATGGTTTTACCAGGAATGTAGTTTGGTTTAAGAGCTTTATAGGTAAGATTAAACCCAGCTGCATTATCTGTGGCATCAGAGACGAATTTCAGCCTTAGAGAATTAGAGCCAATAAGAATGGATGAAGGGAGGCTTTCTCCACAAAATTTTCCTGCAGGATGAGAAAAAAGGATTCTTTGTTCAGAATCTAGAAAATAGTTCCCATTCAATGATTTAAGAAGAACTGAATTTGCCATGATATTTCAGGATTGTCCAATCCAAAGTTTCTCAGTCTTGTCACAATTGACATTTTGAGCCAGAACCTTCTTTGTGTTCTTGCCATCCTGCATCTTTTGTAGGATATTTGGTAGCATTTCTGGCCTCTACCAGTGACAATTCCTGCCCTTGTGACAACTGAAAAATGCTTCTCATTCATTGCCAAATGTGTCCTGAGGGTTGGGGGTACAAAATCACCTCCAGCTGAGAAACCACAGAAACACCATTCCATTTCTGTTTCTTGTAAGTAACCTGTCTCCTTCTCATGGTTGTCTATTTGTATTTTCCTTCTTAGCTTGATGAGGCAGGGAAAGGTCATTTTCACAGCTAGGAAAGCAGTGAGCTGTCTGGACATCCTGAGAGGCCCTGGAATATATCTAGAGTTTATTCCTCATGGACACCAGGTCTGGCAAATGGGCCTAGGAAGCCTGGTTTGATGGGAAGCAGATTTGGCAAGTAAATTGCCCTGTGACCTTGCAGCCATCACCCAGGCTCAGATTTGGTTCCTTCCCACTCCCAATTCTGAGTCTCAAAGCGGAAGTCAAGAAGTGTGGCATTTACAGATGGCTGAGTGCCAGACATAAGATAACTAGGCCTCATTAAGCCCACTTGGCACTGGTTTCCATTTGACACTGTGAAAATCCACTCACCAATGGGTCTGTCTTCTAAAGAATACATTGACAGGTAACTGTGGTGACAAGACTCAACATCTAGGTGGGAAAAACTGAGCAACACATGCATTTCCTCTGGTACCAGCAGGGTCCAGACACACCGTCTGTAGGCAGATCATGGAGAGGGCGTTATTTCTAGACAGAAAACGACTATCACAGTCCAATTGGTGGGCCCAGACCGGAGGTGGGAGTAAGGAGGAGGAGTACAAAGGGGGTTACTCACTGCTTGCTCTCATAATATAGGTGGAGGCTTTCTGGGAAGTGCAGCTTCCCCTCAGCCCCGCTGACTATGACATCCTGCTCACTGCACCAGGCTGGGAGGGAAAGCCAGGAGAGTCAGGGTTAGTTATGCCAGTTAACCACAGCAGCCCCTCCCTCCAGAAGCTGCAAACACCATAGCCTCCTGGTTCTTCTTGATGTACTCTTCGTTCTTCATGAAATCTTCTCCTGTCTTTGCTTCTATGATGCCTTTTTGGTTCCTTTTAGATCCTGCTTAACCTTGAGATTCTATGATTGGTTTTCTTTCCTTAACTCTTCTCTCTCTTTTTATTTTATTTTATTTTATCTTTGAGGCAGGGCCTCAATCTCTCACCGAGGGTGGAGTGCAGTGGCACGATCACAGCTTACTGCAACCTCAACCTCCTGGGCTCAGGCAATCCTCCTGCTTCAGCCTGTCGGGCAGCTGAGACCACAGACTCACACTGCCACACCCGGCTAATTTTTTGAAGAAATTATTTGTGAGACAGAGTCTCACTTTGTTGCCTAGGCTTGGTCTTGAACTCCTGGACTCAAGCGATCCTCCCACCTGAGCCTCCCAAATTGCTGTGATTACAGGCGTGAGCCACCTCTGGCCCTTTACTCTTCTTTTGCTGACCTCATACTTTATTCTATAAGTGCAGGTATTTCCCAGCTTCTAGCCTTCGTCCTCATCTGCTCTGTCTCTATGATCCCTTGGACCAGGTTCATTCACACCCTCCATTTCAGATGTCATCTCTACATTTCTGAACTTCAGACCTGATTTTTTATGACGGTTTCCTAGCTGTCTCCCTCAGAACTCAATATGCTATAAATAGAATTCCTTGGGTCAGCAAAACTGCACCCACTTCTGATTTTATTATTTTTGTGTGCCCTTCTCTTAGTCTCTCATGCTCAAAACTTTGGTACTATCTTCTCTTCCTCCTTCTTCGTTACAACCTTTCATCTAATTGGCTCCCAATCCTCATTTCTCGTTTCTATTCCTTCCTTTTCATTCTGTGGATATTGCCTTGGTTCAAACCTTCATTTCTTGTCTCTCAAACTAATGAAGAATTTCATACGTCCATGCATTTGTCCCCTCGCAACCCATCCCCTACATGCTGTTCTTACACTATTAAAATATAGTTCAAACCTACTTATCTAATTAATCAGCTTTCTATTACTCAATCGTATCCAAACTTTTTTGGCTAGCATTTAAAGTTTCCATAGTTTGATCTCAAGTTATGTTTCTATTCTTCTCCCTTATAAATCCTCATCACATGCCCTGTGCTTTTGTTGCTGTCTTCATCCTTAAGACCTTTCCTTTAATAAGGATGATTCCTTGAGCTGGAATATTTTTCTTTACCCATATTCCATTTCCACTTGACAAAATCCTACTCCTCCTTCCAGTTGCAGCTTCAAAGATGTCTGTGCATCAGAGCTCCCCTGTGAGTTTATTTGTTTTCAGCTAGAAGCAGCCTCTCATTCCTCTGAGCTCTCAGGGTACTATTTTTCTATATTGCTCTTTGTAGATCTTTCCACGGGTTCAAAGAACAACTAAAGATTTGAACTAAAGTGTCTTAGAGACCATCTGGCCCACACTATTTTCTTTATGGATGAGGGCCAGAGTTAGGAAAAGGCTCGCCCAAAGTCACAGAGTGAATTCATCGCAGGATCGCAATGGAACAAAGGGGATGAGACCCTATATAAGTAGGGACACTTTCAGGGCAAGGTGTGTAGCTTACTGACCACATCGGCACTGCCTTGCCCTCTTTCCTTGAGTCTCTGATTCCAAGCTAGTGTTTGGCAAAGGTTGGCTGAATTGGGACAGAGCTCTGGATTGCTAAGAAATGAAATGGGAGGGCAACTGGGGCTTCTGCTGGGCATAATGGCTGTAGGTGCTCCAGGTGGTAGTTTTAGACCTACTGAGCAGGGAGCGCTCTTGGAGAGGAAGACTTCAGGAACTGATATTCAGAAATGCTAGATGTTAATTTGTGCTCCTGATGGAGCAGCCTGCAAGGGATACCCACCTCTGGAGCTCTTTCTCCGATTACCTGGGAAAGGAAAAGAAGGATGCAATTGAAAGCCTGTGGTATCCTGAACAACGCTTCAAGAAGTTAGCATCTTCTTGGCGCACAAGAGATTTTTAAGTCAATATGCAACTAATAAAAATCTTATCTGTGGAAAGAAGGGAAGGGATAAATGGATAAAGTAGGAAAGGGCCTCTGGTGTTTTAAAATGATTTAATTCTCTTTATTAAGTGGGCTAATATGAAATGGTAATTAACTGGAGGTTTCACAGAGGAAGGGGTCATTTTACATAAGAACAGAGGCTAGAGATGGAAATAGTTTGTCCATAACTATAAAAGAGTTGCTGGGTTAAATAGGTCAAACTTTAACTGAGGGCTCAGATACCTGCCACTGTACCATACACTTGAAAACAAACTCAAATTCCTACTAAACTTAATTTAAATTAACTTGTTTAGAAAAGGATAAAAGCCTTTTTGAGGTTGGAAGCCACCAGATAAGAAAACAATTAAGTTGGATTTGGAGGAGGCAAAGAAGTTGCAATGAGCTCTCTAGTCAGTTTATCACAAGGGTGTACACTCATCCCTCAATATCTGTGGGGGATTGGTTTCAGAACCCTTGCAGATACCAAAAATCCGAGGATGCTCAAATCCTTAGATTAAACGGCATAGTATTTGCATGTAACCTAGGCATGTCTTCCCCTATGTAGCACTCTAAATTGTCTCTGGAGTGCTTGCGATACCTAAGACAAAGTAAATGCTATGTAAATAGTTGTTACACTGTATTTTTAAAAATTTGTATTGTCATTATTATTGTACTGTTATTTTTATTGTTTTTATTTTTCTCCAAATATTTTTGATCCACAGTTGGTTGAATCTGCTGACATGGAACTTGCAGATACGGAGGCCTGGCTGCATGTAGATCCTGGCTTTTGCAGACTTACTATACCTGGATCTACGCCAGGGATTCTCATTGTTGGTACTATTAACCTTTTGGGTGGGATCATTCTTTGTTGTGGGAGGCTGTCCTGTACTTTGTAGGATGTTTAGCAGCATCCAAGTCCCCTACCCACTGGACACCAGAGCCACTCCTCAGCTCTGCCAGTTGTGACAATTAAAAATGTCTTCTGATACTGTCCCTGGGGACAAAATTGCCCCTGGTTGATAACTACTGATCTGTTATAGTTTGCTGGATTTTTTTGAGAAGTAAGTGGTGCCATCGTGTAATGGTGAGCACTCTGGACTCTGAATCCAGAGAAGTAAGTGGTGAAAGCATATCATCAACTGAGATAGTTTCAATTAAAGGCCAGTTTGAGAAGGTCTAGGATGGATGGATTCATTTTTCATTGAATATCTGCATGCTGCTCCACATACCATATTTTACTCTTGTTTTATTTAGACTTGGTAAACCTCACAATCCTTGTGTGCTACACTGAGAACAGAGGTAGAGCCTGTTGGTTCAGGTGCTCTGATTTGCCAGGACTCTGCTGATGCTGTCTCTGGCCCTAGCAGAATGGCAGCTTCTTAACCTTGTGTGATGGCTTAGTTACCAGTTTGGATGTGTTCGTGGATCCAGGGAAGCACTTTACTAATGTCTGTGAAGATCCCAGGGGATCCTTGATCACTTTTCCTCACATTGTTTCTCCAGCCTCGACCACAGCCCAAACCCCAGGAAGTCACACCAGCCAGAGTCCAGGCCCCTTTCTTATTCCGGCACATGAGTGAACCTCCTGAATCTCCCTGCAGAGGGAAAAAGCCTCTATTAGCATCACTGTCAGTGTCTATGCCCCAAAATGCTCACTGTTTCCTCACAAGGATGCTGGAGGAGGATCAATGACATCTCCTCACTTCTAATAATTTAGACTCAGGGTCCTGTGTATACAGATCCCAGCACAATTCCCATATGATCCTCAACTATCACTGGAACCCAACAATCCCACCTCCCTTTTCCTCATCCATGGCTTTCATCAAAGCAGCAGACTTTCTTCTTTCTCTCCTCTCATGCTGCAGACTCAGAGAAGTCTTGGCCAGCAATGAGACTGACTTCAGGCCTTGGTTAGTAGGAAGAATGGAGGAAAAGTGTAAAGTTCCCAACATCCACAAACTGGAAAATTCTAAATAGGAAAGAGTCAGCCATCCTTCAGGAATGGGAGAACCCCGAGTTCATTCTTGGCATTATCTCTGTTATTTGGTCTTTTGGAAAAAGCAGAAGACCTCTTTTAAATCACACTTCCTGCTAAAAACAGATTGTTTCCACTGTCCCTTTATTTTGATGTAACCTCCCTTGGTACTCCTAACCCTTCTTTCCAGATTCCTGCCTTACCTGGAATCAGTCTTCCTGCAGCCCCTCACCTGATAACAGGTGAGCCTCTTAGGGAAATGGTTTGGATCTACCATTTTTCTCACACATTTAACTAACTATTTGACCCTTATAGCTTCTTCAAGACTATTCTTTATTCTACCCCTCCAATATGCTTTCTAATTAAATTAAATTTCACTGAAATTTAAGAAAACTAGAAGAAAACAAAACCAAGGGAATCCTTGCCTGGGGCCTGACAGCCCCGCAGCTCCCACCCACCTGACATGCGTCTCTCCCTCCATCAGGAAAACCTGTGCAAAGAAAGGTCTTCCCACTGATGGGCCTCTTTAGTGTTAACAGAGCTGCCACACACTCTTCCCAGGTCAAAATAGGCAGATTCACTTCCTGCAAGACTTGTGAGAGGACGCCACCTGAAAAACAGAGAGATGGAAGCCCCAGCAGGAACTCTTTCACCCTTTCTGAGTTGAAGATGCATCATTTGTGTTTGTGTCGCTTGGCAAGACTTGAATTTCTAAGTACAATGTGACATTCCCTATCTTTAGAAATGTATGCACAATCGATTTTTAAAAATGGATTAAAAATTCCATTTTCTGATTGCCCACCAGAAAGTTCTGACCTCTGCTTAAGAGGAATGGCACACAAGTTCTTACCTTCAGTTAAGCGGCCCCAGCCTGCAGTTGTACAAATAAAACCAGCCTCAAATTGCTCCCGCAGCTCTGGAAGACATATGGGCCCCACAAAGTGGCCTGAAGAAAAGAGCAAGGTAGGGCTTGTCTCATTCATGGAGGAGAGGACACTATAAGCCACTCACCACTTGGTATCCAGGTGGTCCCCTAAAGACCTCATGAGAGTTGTGATAGCTCTGCCTGGCACCTCCAGGGGTTACTTGTCAATTAAAGAAAACCTTCTCCTGACTCCATGTAATGCTATCTCCAGAACCACAAGCAAAAAGAGTTTCAGGTAGGACTCTCCAGCCTAAATTCCTATCTCAAAGTGCATGACCCAGAACGTATACTGCAGGAAATGTGCTATGGCACAGAGGTTATAGAGAACATGGGGTAGACAATTCAGTATGATCCTCAAATGTTTACCAAATTGGAAGGCTCCAGCCATCTTCAAAAGGGCAATATCATAGTCCATTGGTTTCTTGGTGGAGAAATGTGGATGTATGATGACAGTTTCAATAGTGAGAGTTTGCTCTCCTGGGTCTGTCTGGCTTAAGTCATACTCTCCAGCAGTAACATTCAAAGTAGACACAATGTTTCTATGGAAAGCAAAGAGTAAAATGAATGAATTTCATTGTGCCTCTGAGTACAGTTGCAATGGTTGACACACTAGCTTCTTTAAAATGATATGGATAAATAATATGGGGTGTGAGGCTGCTGAGCAGAGAAAGTGAGAATAATTCCAACACTGTTAGAAAAAAATGCAGAGATTCCAACTTCCAGTAGAGGACTAGTGAAGAGTGGGTTCATATATAGCCAAGGATATGATGAATTTAATACTTTGCAATGTTATTTGAAAATATCTAGAGAGGCACATACATTGTAGTTCAGGGCTCTACAGCTATAGGGGACTTTATTCAGCTACCCTGGGAGGTTGACCTGACCTAATATCAGTGAGACCCTTTGGGAATGATTTGTGATTCCCAGTAAGTATGCTACTTCAATGTCAGAGATCCTATGCTTAGTATATATTATAAGGCACAGACTGCATTATAACTAACTAATGTTCTCTGAAAGGAACTTGGTGGGATGCATTGAGATATATAAAGACTTCAGCTTGCCATCCTTTGAGACGCTTCATTCCCAGAAGTGATGCTTCTATACAAAATTGAAAAAGGCATGTTTTCTCTAGGTATACTTCCCTGACTCTTGGCCAAATTAGGTACCTAACTTAACACATAATGTCTCTCTTACCTACCACTTGCCACATTGCTGTGAGATGATCGGTTGACTCTTGTTAAAAGAAGAGTCAACTCTCTGGGGGCAGAAATCATGTCTTAGTCATTTTGGTACCTTTGGTATCTAGCACAAAGTAAACATCCAGGAAATGTTTGCAGACTTGAAATGAAAGAATGACTATATGGGAACATGATCTTGATTACAGCCTAGTATACGCCCAGAACACTGTCAATAATAGGATATTTGGATCACACAAGAAAGTGGGTAAAGGGAAGTTGTTGGGTTGAGTCCCAGAGAGGCAGGATCAATGGGAAGGAAGACAGGGAGCCTACTTTCTACTTTACTGGTCTCCCTTTGTTTTCTTTTATCCATTTCTTCAGATGCATAATGAACTAGATATTTTTTCACTGAAATTTAAGAAAACTAGAAGAAAACTTTCACAAATCCTTCTTTGTAATGCTCTTTTTTTTCTGACTTGGATGCTATTATTAACTTCCAGTTATTTTAAGTAAAAACGAATTTTACCTCTGAAAAGAATATATGTCATCTACCAAGTGCCATCTGACAATGTCACCCAGCCCCATTTGTGTCATGCAATTAGGATATTCATCTGTTAAACCAATACTCACCTATCACACAGGTCCATGTTTTAATAGGGTTATTGCTGATGATTCCAAGGGAGAAGAAATGGTGGTGTGGTCTTCACTCATGGGCTAGGCCTTTCTTACCTGTTTGCAATGCAGTGAGCCGCCGTGATCACCCACTGTGGTGAGACGATGCTTCCTCCACAAATATGCTTCTGCCTTTGTTTCAGAGATACCTAAATTGCAAATACCTTAAATGAAAGCAAGTTCATGCCCTGGGATCCCCCTAAACACGGTGATGAAGCCTATTCTCAAAACCAGACTCAGATATCACACTCGTAAATGTCAAGAATCGTGGACTGTGAAAAGATAAAGCCCAGACACTACCGCTCAGAAAGAAGAGTGGTGCTGGCAACCCTGGTCTAGATGAGAGGTAGTTAATTTGAGATGACTGGCTGTAAGTATGTGTCAACAGAGGTAGCAGTTAGAAGTGGTGAGATGTATTTACTTATTTTTATAACACAGTTGATGCAGACCTGTTGCTCTAACAATATGAACAGTGTCTGTGAATGAAGGTAAAATAGTATAAGATATTGCAGAGTCCAGCTGAAGAGGTTTGGAAGAAAGGCAAGGTGAGGGCTGGGGAGCCTTTCAACACATACTCCTATTTCTCTAAGCCTCTTAGGGAAATGGTTTGGATCTACCACTTTTCTCATACTCTTAACTATTTGACCCCTATAGCTTCTTCAAGCCTATTCTTTACCCTACCTCTCCAATATACTTTCTAATTTTTGCTTATCCTATTTGTGATACTTGATTTGATTCTAAAATGACTTACTATGTACAAGTAAATACTTTTTCTTATGACATTCATCACATGCCATGATGACTATTCTGTCTTTCAACCCAACTAGGCTGTAGGCTCCTCAAAGATATAAACTTAACCTTAAAAATATCTATATCCATAATATCTAGCACAGTTCTTGATGCATAGAAGTCCTTGAGACTCACCTGCCAGGGATAGGAACCCTTCTCCACTTGGCTTCCTCCAAGAATGCGACTGAAAATGTTAAAATAATTCCAAGGCTGTACCTTAACCAGACTCTGCCCACAACTGGGAGCTGAGAAAAAAACGAGACAAACTAAATGATTAGATAGCTTCTAGGATTGAGGTAATATCTTCTCCATTTCACCCATGAAACTGAGTCTGAGACTATGGTGTATGGTGCTCAGCACACATTCAGATATCAATAAATCTTTATTGGATTTAATTCTCTTGAGGGATGAAAAGTGACAGGTCATTTAAGGAGAGTGGAGTGAAGTGTCCTGATTCACAAGTTGGTACTCGGATAGAGGTTTGCTAGGTAATAGAAGAAAAAACTCCTCCCTCTTTATGTAAAATACTTTATCCCTGAAAAAGTTGTTTTTATTTATTTGCCCTCAATGGGTTTTCTGACTCCTCAGCAAAGAGGTAGACTAGATTAAAGATGTTTAACATCACCTGGTAACTCAAGGATGGCACATCTTCTGTCCCTCCTGGAGGTCATCCTTTTCCATATTTTGAAGGAGGATTAGAACTAGCCTTGCTTCATAATCACCATGCTTCATTGCCTACCTAAATTCTGTAATTCTTATTCCTCAGCTTGGAGATCACCTCAACCAGGAAGTCTTCCTTGATTTCCTCAAAGTGGGATTGCCTCTCCCTTGTGTTGTGTAGCACGCTTTCTTCACCCCTTTTATAGTTCTTGTCATGCAGAATTGTGATAATGAATTATTTGCCTCTATCATCGGACTATGAACTACTCAAGGGAAAAAACTTGCCTTATTCACCTCTGCATTTCTAAGGTTTAGCTTAATTCTTGGCATAAGTAAGCACTTAGAAACACTGGATGGACAAACAAATGACTTTTCTTGAGAACACATCCTTAAGAGTATAGCTATTTAGATCAACATGTTAAAATATTCAAAGCTCTTTCATACAGCTTCTCATTTAATCCCACTCTATGCCTATAAATGAAGCACTGTTATCCCCACATTGCAGATGAGAAAACTGAGAATCAAGGAGACACACAGCTGGATAATGGCAGAGCATGAATGTAACAGTAAGTGTTTTGATCCTGAACCCAGTGCCAGGATGACATTGGAACAAAAGCTTATTTTCTAACTGTTTCAGTTGAATGAGTCATAAATACTTTAAATACAAAATTTACTATTTCCCAAATTCAGTAAAGCAAAGTCAGAAAACATGTTGATTCTCAGGGTTGGCACAAGTCTGACCAAGGAGAAATCTTCCAAGAACTGTTTTCAGCTTAAGTTAGTTGAAGGGGAAAAAAGACCATTTATAATATACTACAGTGAACATGCTTCATATTTCTCAGCAAGATGATTTTGTAAAAGATTAAAAATGCTTCCAAATCCATGCTGATTTCCAGAATTTGCTCTATGAACCAAGATGGGATTATGTAATGGGTTCAAGTAAGTGAACAATCTCAGTTCACTTAGGAAAACTAAGCGAAGAAAACAGGGATTGTTTACTTAATTGGATACATTAGTTGCATTCTATAAATGTTTCACCCTGTGTCCTATGCCGATTGCAGGAGATAAGTCCAAAATAATTGTTTAAAAACAATTAGATATCCAAAATATATTTGCTTCTCCTATTTTCCCAAAGGAACATGGAGTCTCGGAGTTGTGACGTCCATTGCCAGCAAAGGTTCAGACAAAGGTAATTATAGAGTTCATTTGAAACTTACCTTTGGGGAGCGAAAGAGTTGCAGATTTACCTCGTTCAAAAAAGACTATTCCTAGTAGTAAAATCAGCTTGTTCCTGCTTATAAGCATTTTGAGACTCATAGTTTTTCCCTGAAATTTTAGAGAGACTAAAGCAAACAAAAATAGGAAGCCTTGAGAGACCAGCAATAAGCCAATTTAAAACAAGTTTATTCATTAACCAAGACGTGGTGAATCAAGCATGTCCATCTGATGTTTCTGAATGTAGTGTTTCGCAAAGATCTTTTGGAAGATGTGGAGAAACAACCACAGAAGCAGAGTCTTGATCAAGCAATATTACATATCCTATTACACCTACACCAATTAGTTGATTCCTCCAGAGTGTATCTGGCTAGCAAAGTGGTTAGCATGTAAGATTTGCATCTGCAAACATTACTTGCTCCTTTGTAGAGCTTACCACTTTTACCACTTTCTATAAGAAGATTGACTATCAATGTTGTCCTTGTTTGCAAGGGTACACTTCCCTACTTTTTTGCAAACGACCCATCCAAATGTATATAATTTTTTTGGGCAGAGATGGAGTTTCATCATGTTGCCCAGGCTGATCTCAAACTCCTGGGCTCAAGGGATCTGCCTGCCTTGCCCTCCCAAAGGTCTGGGATTACAAGTGTGAGCCACCACGCCCAGCCAATATTCTAAAATATTTTTATTTATCTTATTTTGCAAATGTAACTACATGGTTATTATAAACATATGTTGGTGAATGAGAGAAGTGGAAAGATATTTGGGTGTCACACTCAGGAAGCCCTGCTGTTAGAAAGTCATCTAGGATACTGTACATTGGGGCATTTGTGACTCTGCATTCTCCTATCATTTTTGTATTTATAGAAGGGAAACACTAAATCTCCTTTACTTCTATGCCTGGTAGATGCTTGGGAGAGTAAAGTGGCTATGATTACCTGTACATTTTCCTCTTTCCTCAACGAGTTTTGGGCACATGGTCAGTGTGTGAGAAATATTTATAGGATGGTCAATGCCATCTATGACCAGATAGAAATATAACATTTTTCTGTCAACTTTTATAAGTTACCCACTAAAAATAACAAATGTCAGCCCAAAAGCTCTTAATTTCCTTTTGGCAACTTTTGTCTTTGTACAAAAAAGTATGAAAATACAACACATACAAATAATATAAATGCAAAACAGAGAAGGTGTAAAAACTTAACATTTGTAAGCACTACATATTTAGGTACACTAATCAAGAATGTAGCCTTATGGAAAGAAGGAAACTCAAACCTCTATTGAGGCTTTATCTATAACTACTGTAATCCTGATGCCAAACATTTTTGGCTATTGGTATGGAGTGATAGCCCCAAGAGGTAATCAATCAATGTCTAAGCCCTAATCAAAGTCTCAATCTTTCTTTGACAGCAAGCTCCCTTTAAATTGCTATTGTGTTTTATCAATCACTTTTGAGAGCAACTTGACTAGGAATATGGCCTTTCTGACCCCAAATTCACTACATTCTGTCTAAAATGTGTATACTGTTAATGTCAAAAGTGCAGAAAGACCTAGTGTGGGCCTAGGATGCACTAAACTTGACAAGCCTAAAGTAGGCACATAGCATAGGACAATAAAATTTGACTCTATACTGAAAGAATGATGAGTTTTCCTTTGTAAAATGTGGGAGTGGAGCGTTTTTATTGATTGTCACACAGAAATATGATGAGCTCTTGCTTAGTGCTTAATTTCAGGAGAGGGTATTTGCTTCAAGCTCTTGCATCAGCACAACTATCAGTACACATCAACACACTCTTCACCACATGAAGCTGGTCATTAAGAGTTTGTTACTTTCATCTCTTAAGGGGCTAAAATGTGGCCCCCTTGCTGTTAAAATATTTGCTCTTCATGGGGGATGTAGCAGGTTCTAAGACACTATATTTTTGTAAGTCCAGCTATTCAACCCTCCCAGGGTCTGGATAGGAATTATAATAACTGTACATTGTAGTTACTTGCAGACAGGAATATATTAAAGTGTTGCTTGGCATGGTAGTATAAAATCAATTTTTCATTCATGAAACTATTAAACCTTTTAAAGGGGAAAAAATCTCTCTTGAGAATCTTGGACCAAAGTCTGCACCAAACATGGATTTGGAATTCAAATACATTGTTTTCCCTGTCTGTAAATCCCCAAGTTGAGAAATTAGTATCAAAATTTCTCCTGAAAGCAAAACTGTCTCTCTTCACAGATGATATGATTCTATACCTAGAAAATCTCAGGTCTACCTGTTATAACCTTCTTCTCTCTTTTTTGCAGCAATTATTTTTGTTGAAAGAATTGGTTATTTAGACCTTTAGCATTTTCTACATTCTGTATTTTGCTGATTGCAGAGCTGTGACTTTAATGTGTTCCTATAACCCTGTGATATAATCCATAGCTAATGATTATAACTTCTGTATTGTACCCTCCAATGAAAAGAGAACAACTCCAGTATGAGCAATCTCTCTCTGTCTTTTCAGATTTTTCTGTCAAAACCTTTCACCTTCTGACAGACCTCAGAACACTCCAACTTTGTTGCTGTGTCTTCCTGGGTCAATCCACACATTTGAGGTTCAATAAACCTTTATAGATTTTTTTCTGTCTTGACAGCCTCAATTTTGGTCAACAGTGCCATAAACACTCATCACCAGGAATGTTCTCAGCCACCTCCAGTGGCCCAGAGAAAGTAACAGAATGTACTGTCTGGTAGAGAGTCCCAGGAGTTGGGTTTCTGGACCTGTCTGCTTCTCATTCTCCCTGAAGTTTCCAGCCACCTGGAATTGCCCTGCCCCATGGGCCCAAATACCCCCTCACATCTCCCTCCCAGGGGAAAACACCAACTGGTTCTTACTTGGAATAAATTGGAGTGGGTCTACTCCAGAACTTTTTCAGCAGTTTTCTCCTAACAGGCATGTTAGGTTGTGGTTCTTTCCTTAATTGAATTCCATCTACTTTTTATCGTTCTAGAAATATTCATAATTTGGGGCCACTAAAAGTAGCTTTCCTTGTTCAGGTTTTCCAGCACTGCTATGAGTTCATTTGTTTAATACATCCTTCTTATCATAAATTTGGAGCAGGAGCAGGAGGACACACCGTATGGTCTCAGGCTGCCAACTTAATCCAATCGCTAAGTGGGAACCACTGAATCCTCCTTTATAAACACCTTGCATATTCCCTGTTGCAACTAAGAGATGACACTAAAGGTACATGCAAGGTAAGTTGAAGTGTAAAATAATTAAGAACAATCTGAGAATGCCTCAAGGATAATCAAAAACAATAAGGGTATTTTTAAAAATAAATTTTAAAAGGGAAGAGATGATTTGGAACTGAGGGATGATATGAATCATGCAAAGGAAGGATCACTTTGCCCCTTCTCACTGTTTGAGTCTTAGAATAGAAATGGGAGTACTCCAGAAAGTGGTTTAGTTATACCCAGGAATTTCAGCGATACTGGAGAAAGGAAGAGTGGGGAAAGTTCCTATACATACTAAGCACAGGAGATAGATAGCAAAGAAACAAACTTAGGCAAAAGTGAGCTGGCCAGAAATGAGAGGGAACAGAAGGGAAATCGTGTAGGGATTTGCCTGAGTCAGTGTTGGCAAAAGCAAAAAAATTCACACACAGGTATGAAGAAAACAGGAAAATAGGGGAAAGGAAACAGGAGTCTGTTTGGAAAAGATACAATTAGCCCCCGTATTCTTGTTGAAAACTTGATGTGTTATGCTTCAGTCTCTGTAGTTTGTCTCCAAGATACTAGCTTTTATGAAGACAAAATTTTCATGGTATGACGGAGAAAGGAAGTTAGCAGGAGATGTAGATGAGTGAGAAAGCCAGAAAAAAAGAAGTAGTTTAGGACAATAAAAAAGTTATCTCCAACAATTATGAAGTGGTGAAGGAGGCCAGTTGAGAAGATAAATCGAGCAAGTGCATCTTTCTTTCTTTTGTGTCAGTTTTGAAGCTAGTGATTGGTAGGAGCCAAAAAGAAAAAGAAAAAAAGGGATCAAGTTTCAGCTTTCCACATATGGCTAGCCAGTTTTCCCAGCACCATTTATTAAATACAGAATCCTTTCCCCATTGCTTGTTTTTCTCAGGTTTGTCAAAGATCAGATAGATGTAGATATATGGTGTTATTTGACCCAGCCATCCCATTACTGGGTATATACCCAAAGGACTATAAATCATGCTGCTATAAAGACACATGCACACGTATGTTTATTGCGGCACTATTCACAATAGCAAAGACTTGGAACCAACCCAAATGTCCAACAATGATAGACTGGATTAAGAAAATGTGGCACATATACACCATGGAATACTGTGCAGCCATAAAAAATGATGAGTTCATGTCCTTTGTAGGGACATGGATGAAATTGGAAATCATCATTCTCAGTAAACTATCGCAAGAACAAAAAAACCAAACCCCGCATATTCTCACTCATAGGTGGGAATTGAACAATGAGAACACCTGGACACAGGAAGGGGAACATCACACTCTGTGAATGTTGTGGGGTGGGGGGAGGGGGGAGGGATAGCATTGGGAGATATACCTAATGCTAGATGACGAGTTAGTGGGTGCAGCACACCAGCATGGCACATGTATACATATGTAACTAACCTGCACATTGTGCACATGTACCCTAAAACTTAAAGTATAATAATAATAAAAAAAAAAGAAAAAGAAAAAGAAAGACAAAATTGGACCAAATCCTGTGGTCTGCCAGAGAAAAACAAAAAGCACGCAGAAAAAGTGACAAGGGCTTAGATGATGTGATAGCATGATAGAAAGGGTAGGGGATCAATAATTTTTAAAAAAACATAAACTGAAATCAAGACTCCAACACATACTAATAGTGTAGCCTTGGGCAAGTCCATCAAGCCATTAGATCCTTGTATTCCTCATACGTAAAATATAGATAACAGCATATTGGGTAATTCTTTGGTAGTTAGTGGAATGATACCCATGGGGACTGTTTAGACTGTGATGTGTTACATGACTTCATAATAACACTAGAAAAATTAATCATCTTCGGAAGACGCATGGGACCAAAACTAATGACTATTCAGTAGTCTTTGGAAGGATTGATAAAGAAAAATAATCACTGGGTATGGTGGCTCATGCCTATAATCCCAGCACTTTAGGAGTCTGAGGCAGGAGGCTCACTTGAGCCCAAGAGTTCAAGACTGCAACCACTGCACTCCAGCCTGGGTGACAGAGATACTGTCTCAAAGTAAATAAATAAATAAATAAATAAATAAATAAATAAATAAATAAATAAATAAATGAAAGAAAAAAGAAAATGGAGCCAGCATTTATAGTAACCTTCCTTTCCTTTCCCTTTCCCTTTCCTTTTCCCTTTCCCTTTCCCTTTCCCTTTCCTTCCCTTCCCTTCCCTTCCTTTCCTTTCTTTTCTTTTCTTCTTTGTTTGACGGCATTTCGCTCTTGTTGTCCAGGCTAGTTTAATGATGTGATCTCGGCTCACTGAAACCTCCGCCTCCCAGGTTCAAGTGATTCTCCTGCCTCAGCCTCCCAGGTAGCTGGGATTACAGGCATGCACCACCACACCCGGCTAATTTTTGTATTTTTACTAGAGATGGGGTTTTGCCATGTTGGCCAGGCTGGTCTCGAGCTCCTGACCTCAGGTGATCCACCTGCCTCGGCCTACCGAAGTGCTGGGATTACAGGCGTGAACCACCGCACCCGGCCGGTAATTTCCTGATGATTTAACTAGCAAGGTGGGCAGTGGTAAGAGCAGGATGAGAGGTAGCTAAAGATATGCTAAGATTCTTATCTAATTTAAAGTCAGGATTTATAAACAAATTAATTATAGACATTAGTAGAAAATGTAAAAAAAAGTGTTAGAACCTTAAGAGTTATGACTACTGGAAGAATAGAAATATGATGCATAAATTCCATAAGATTAGATTATAAGTAGTGAAAAGAAGGAAAGAAGGTTGATTCAATTTAAAGGAAATAATGATAGGAAAACAAACAACAAAAACAACAGTGACAAAGAAAGCATGGTAAATAGAAAACAAAATTATGCACAATGACAACCATTAAGCTTTTTTAAAAAAACAAAATTAGTTACATTATAATAGATCATGTTATTCATTGTAAAAATGAGTAAGTTCAATACTATTAACAGTTTAAGCAGTGAATAAATTGCTTTCAGATGATTCCTGGTGGGAAGTAAATTGGCAATGTTGCTTTTAAAGGTTTTATTAAAATGAAAAGTGGCATTCACAAAGAAGTCATAGCAGTCTTAAACATTTAAATACCTAATAACACAATGTTGAAATATTTAAAGAAAAATCTGATAGGAGTATGTGAAACTGAAAAATGTACAATCATCATGCAAGAGTTTCAGAAATTGATAGGTCAAATAAGTAACAAAAAAAGCCTGATCTAATAGATTGTTAACATAAAGCACTATGAGTTAAATGGTGCTAATTTTCTTTGAGGGCAATTTGGCAGAATCTGTTATAATTTAAATTGTGCAAACCTTTTGACCCAGGAATACTTCTGAGAGAAATGCTGGTACAGTGAAGCATTGGTTGGAGTATAGTTAAGTAAATACTAATGCAATGCTTTCAAAATGCTTTCATTAAAATTGTGAAGGATATTAATGCATACATGGAATTATCTAAAAAATATTTTTGAATTATAAAAGCAATTTTAGAACAATATAAATGGTAAAAATCGCTTATTAAAAACACATGGAAATTAGGAACAAGGAAGAGAGTCTTGGGTTATCTGGAAAGACAGCACTGGATTACAGATAAATATAGAGTGGAAAAAGGATGAAGTATCTTCAATAACTGGATCTCTATCTGAAGAGTCCAAGATTTTGGGAAAAAAAGTCTACATAAGTGGAGTTGAATTGAAACATAGGTCACCTTCATGTGGGGAAAGCATTATGGCTCTTCATGCAACTAAGATGCAACTAATTATGTAAAAAAAAACAAGAAAATGCTAAAAAAAGTTCCTGGTACCTAGTCATAGCTGCTTCTCAGAGATGGTACAGATGAGTACAGCATAGCCCACAATAATTATGTTGACCCAAATCAAGTTTCAAAACTAATTAGATCTATGCAGTTATAATAACTGTATACAAATAATGAAGAGAATTAATGAAACCCCTTGGATCTTAATGAATTATCTCAGCCAGCATAATTTCCTATGAATACATAAACACGCCTAATTGTCTCAATCTTATTGGATTTTCTCCATTGGATTTTCAATAAGATGTTGACAAACCTGTGCAGGTCTGGTGTTGAGGTACTTTTGGTCTTTTATTCCAAATGGTCCCAAATCCTGCAAAAATAAACCCTGCTGCACAGAGATGATTCCTGGAGTTTGTCATTATCTTTGGCAGGCAACATTCGTTCTTTATTATTGATATATAAATGCCCTTTGCATTGCTAGTGGAAGCTAATAGTTGCAATTTTAAGTAGATTCTTATTTATGGATTACTCATTCATTGCCATCCATTGCTAGGTGTTTTAACATAAATCATTTTATTTAAAATAGTGTTCATGTGAGATAAACATTATTATTACTGCATCTCAATTTTAAAAATAAGAAAAATGAGACTCAGAGGGTTACGTAACTTTCCCAAGATCATTTAGTAAGTGGCAGAACTGAAATTTATTCATATAAATTTTGGCTGAAATCTTCTTTTCTTTCTTAATATTTTCTTTTTTTTTAAGTTTTTTTTTTAACTTTTATTTTAAGTTCAGGGCTGTATGTGCAGGTTTGTTACATAGGTAAACTTGTGTTATGGGAGTTTGTTATACAGATTATTTCATCACCCAGGTATTAAGCCTAGTATCCATTAGTTATTCTTCCTGATCCTCTCCCTCCTCCCCCATCCACCCTCCACCCTCCAATAGGCCCCAGTGTGTGTTGTTCCCCTCTGCGTGTCCATGTGTTCTTACCGTTTAGCTCCCACTTATAAATGAGAACATGCAGTATTTGGTTTTCTGTCCCTGTGTTAGTTTGCTAAGAATAATGGCCTCCAGCTCCATCCATGTCCCTGCAAAGAACAACACTGCATTCTTTTTTTATGGCTGCATAGTATTCCATGGTGTATATATACCACATTTTATTTATCCAGTGTATCACTGATGGGCATTTAGATTGATTCCATGTCTTTGCAGTTGTGAATAGCGTTGCAATGAACATATGGATATATGAATTATAAAATTATAAAGACACATGTCTGCATAAATCATTTATATTTATATATATGATTTATATTCCTTTGGATATATACTCCGTAATGGGATTGCTGGGTTGAATGTATTTCTGCCTTAGGATCTTTGAGAAATCCCCACACTGTCGTCCACAATGGTTGAACTAATTTACATTACTACCAGCAGTGTATAAGCATTCCTTGTTCTCCACAACCTCACCGGCATCTGTTATTATTTCTTTTTAATGATAGCCATTCTGACTGGTATGAGATGGTATCTGATAACAGTTTGCTTCTGTGCCCTCACCCAAATCTAACCTTGAATTGTAATAATCTCCACGTGTCAAGGGCGAAACCAGGTGGAAATAATTAAATCATGGGGGTGGTTTCTCCCATGTTCTCATGATAGTGAGTGAACTCTCACAAGATCTGGTGGTTTTATAAGGGGCTTTCCCCCTTTGCTTAGTACTTCTCCTTCCTGCCACCATGTAAAGAAGGATGTGTTTGCTTCCCCTTCCACCACGATTGTAAGTTTCCTGAGGCCTCTTCAGTCCTGTGGAAATGTGAGTCAATTAAACCTCTTTCCTTTGTAAATCACCCAGTCTTGGGCAGTTCTTTATAATAGCTTGAGAATGGACTAATACAGTATCTCATTGTGGTTTCAATTTGCATTTCTCTAATGATCAGTGATGTTGAGCTTTTTCTCATATGATTGTTGGCTGTATGTATGTCTTCTTTTGAAAAGTGTCTGCTCACATCCTTTGCCCACCTTTTAATGGGGTTGCTTGTTTTTTCCTTGTAAATTTCAGTTCCTTATAGATGCTGGATATTAGACCTTTGTCAGATGCATAGTTTGCAAAAATTTTCTTCCTTTCTGTAGGTTCCCTGTTCACTCTGTTGTTGGTTTCCTTTGCTGTGCAGAAGCTCTTTCATTTAATTAGATCACACTTGTCAATTTTTGCTCTTGTTGCGATTGCTTTTGATGTCTTCAATATGAAATCTATGCCTGTGCCTATGTCCTGAATGGTATTGCCTAGGTTGTCTTCCAGGGTTTTTATAGTTTTGGGTTTTACATTTGTCTTTTATCCATCTTGAGCTAATTTTTGTATATGGTTATAAGGAAGGGGTCCAGTTTTAATCTTCTGCACATGGCTAGCCAGTTATTCCAGCACCATTTATTGAATAGGAAATCGTTTCCCCGTTGCTTGTTTTCGTCAGGTTTGCCAAAGATCAGATTGTTGTACGTATGTGGTCTTATGTCTGGGTTCTCTATACTGTTCCATTGGTCATACCTCACATATCATACTGGTTGGTACTTATATCATGTTTTGAATTCATTTGGGTCTCTAATGTATTTTTTTACATAAATATAAGATTTTTTCCAGATTCATGTTTCTTAACCCTCTGATAGAATCCTGGGACTAATTAACGGAGTCAGAGATTTAGCATTCTTTCATTATTTTATCAAGTTAATTTATATGAAGAATTGATTAAATCACATTGATTTAAGAACTGCTTCATAGAGTATGTTTGTCATATTCAGGTTGACAAAGAATAGAGTACTGATAGTTATTCACCAGTATAATTTGTAGAGATATTTTAAATGTTAAGATCTTTCAAAAAGTAGCAAATATTTCATTTGGCCATTCAGGGGACTTACACATGAGCAATCCTTTTCCTATAGAAAGTAATGACATACCTTCTCCCTCAATGGCAGCCTTCTGATACTTGATAGTACTTCTCAAGTATTACTTGGTAAATGATAGAATTTTTTATTTGGTAGTATTTGCTAGTTCTTTTATTGTTTGACACTTGCTTTTTCAGTGGGTCTGACTTTCTCACTTGGATGCCAGGATGTTAAGATTAAACACTGTAAGTAGTTGCAGATTAACTGAGCTCATTCTCTTGAGGCTGAAATTACCTCAAAACTATAGGTAGTTGCAGATGAGCTCCCTCTCTTTTAAGAAGTTCAAAAGGATATTGAGACACAATAGAGGGTGGACACTGGACTGTGAAAACGTAGTTACTTCAATGATTGGTGCTTCCAGTGAGACCAAATACATTTTGAATGGACCTGGAGGTGATACTCAGAGTGGGGTGTTTGAAATTGATGTGATGAAGTTGGTAAACTTACTGACAATGACAAAGTCTGTTCCATGACCATATAAATGTGTGTGAAGAGTAGAAGTCTTTTCCCTCTTTATACTTCTTTGTCTCTTTACCCTTTCCCATTTATAATATAATTGTGTCTTAAAAGTTATCTCTACTTATATTGAGAACCACATCAGACAGTGTTATAATTTTGGCTATGACAATAAAAAACAATTTAGAAAACTTAAGAGGAGTAGAGAAATGTATTTATCTATATGTTTACATCTCCTGTTTTATTTTCTTCCTTCCTGCTGTTTCAAGATTCCTTCTTTGATTAGTTATTTTCTGTTTTGAGAACTTTCTTTAGCTATTCTTTTAGGGTAGGTCAGCTGGTGATAAATTCTGTTAGTTTTCCTTCATCTGAGAATGTCTCATTTCCCCTTAATCCCTGAAAGATACTAGCTAGATAGAGAATTCACACTTGACCGTTTCTTTCCTTTGCAAATAAAAAACTTTTCTTTTGACCTCTGTGATTCCAGGTGAGGAATCTGCTGTCACTTGAATGGTTTTCTGCTGGAGGTAAGGTGCCATTTCTTTTTCACTGCTTCCAATTGTTTTTCTTTGTTTCTAATTTTTAGAATTTTGATTATGATGTATTTAAGCGTGGATTTCCTTAGAATTATCCTGTTTGGTGTTTGCTGAAAATTTATTAAATGTATGGGTCTTTGCTAAATTTGAAAAATTGTAAGTCATTATTCCTTCAGCTTTCATCATTTTTCTCCTCTTTTTCTGTTGCTTTGATGACATAAATGTTAGATCCTGTATTATACAGGTTGAGTATCACTAATCCAAAAACCTAAAATCCAAAATACTACAAAATCTGAAACTTTTTCAGTGCTGACATGATACTCAGAAGAAATGCTCACTGGAGCATTTTGGATTTTAGATTTTCAGATTAGGGTTGCTCCATTGGTAAGTATGATGCAAATAGCTTTCTCTAATTCTGTGAAAAAATGACTTTGGTAGTTTGATAAGAATAGCTATGTGTAAATAGCGTTGGGCAGAATGTCAATTTTAATAATATTGATTCTTCCAATCCGAGAACATGGATTTTTTTTTTTCCATTTTGTGTCTCTAATTTCTTTCAGCAGTGTTTTGTAGTTCTGCCTATAGATATCTTTCATCTCCTTGGTTAGCTGTTTTTGCTAAATTCCTTCATCAAGAAATTAGAAAGATCTCAAGTTAACAATCTAACATTGCACCTAGAGGAACTAGAATTTTTTTAAAAGCCAGCCCCAAAGCAGAGAGAAGAAACAAAATAACTAAAATTAAAGAAGAACTGAATAGGATTAAGATGGAAAAATCCATATAAAAGGTCAATGAAACAAAAAAATGATTTTTGAAAGAATAGACAAGATTGATAGACCACAAGTTAGATTAACAAGGAAAAAAGAGAAGATCCAAATAAGTACAATCAGAAAAGACAAAGATGACGTTACAATAAATCCCACAGAAATACAAAAGATCCTCAGAGACTATTATGAACAACTCTATGCATACAAACTAGAAAATCTAGAGGGAATGGATAAATTCCTAGAAATGTATAACCTCCCAAGATTGAGCCAGTAAGTAAGTGAAAACTTGAACAATCAATAACAAGTTCCAAAATTGAGTCAGTAATAGAAAAAAAATCAGCCAAAAATGTATATTTGGTTCCATATGCAAAATTCATATGGAACCAAAAAAGAGCCCAAATAGCAAGAGCAATACTATGCAAAAAAAAAAAAAAAAAAGAATAAAATAAAATAAAAACCCAGAGGTATCAAACTGCCTGACTTCAAACTATACTACAAGGCTACAGTAACCAAAACAGCGTTGTACTGATACAAAAACAGACATATAGACCAATGGAACAGCATAGATAACCCAGAAATAAAGTCATAAACCTAAAACCATCTGACCTTTGACAAAGCCAACAAAAACAAGCAATGGGAAAAGGACTTCTATGCAATAAATGGTGCTGGGATAACTGGCTAGCTGTCTGCAGGAGAATGAACCTGGATCCTTTCCTTTTACCATATACAAGAACTAACTCAAGACAGATTAAAGACTTAAATGTAAGACCTCAAACTACAAACATCCTAGAAGAAAACCTAAGAAATAACCTCTCAATATTGCCTTTGGCAAAGAATTCATGGCTTAGTCCTCAAAAGCAATTGTAACAAAAACAAAAATGAACAAGTGAGATCTAATTAAACTAAAAAGCTTCTGCACAGCAAAAGAAACTCTTAACAGAGTATATAGACAACCTATAGAATGGGAGAAAATATTTGCAAACTATGCAAAGTGATGAGAAATAGAAGCAAATTGGACAGTGCTAAACAGTGACATAAAGTCAATCACTTTGGCCATTCTGATTCTCATCAGAGTCTCAAAAACATCATTGTTGTAAGTGTTCATTCAAAAACCTGAATTGATCAAATGATGCAAATGTGAGTGCTAACCATATTCTAAACTGAGTCACTGTTTTCTTTTCTTTCTGTCTTTATTTATTTATTATTAATATACTTAAGTTTTAGGGTACATGTGCACAATGTGCAGGTTAGTTACATATGTGTACCTGTGCCATGCTGGTGCTCTGCACCCACTAACTCGTCATCTAGCATTAGGTATATCTCCCAATGCTATCCCTCCCCCCTCCCCCCACCCCACAACAGTCCCCAAAGTGTGATGTTCCCCTTCCTGTGTCAATGTGTTCTCATTGTTCAATTCCCACCTATGAGTGAGAATATGTGGTGTTTGGTTTTTTGTCCTTGCGATAGTTTACTGAGAATGATGATTTCCAATTTCATCCATGCCCCTACAAAGGACATGAACTCATCATTTTTTATGGCTGCATAGTATTCCATGGTGTATATGTGCCACGTTTTCTTAATCTAGTCTATCATTGTTGGACATTTGGGTTGGTTCCAAGTCTTTGCTATTGTGAATAATGCCGCAATAAACATACGTGTGCATGTGTCTTTATAGCAGCATGATTTATAGTCCTTTGGGTATATACCCAGTAATGGGATGGCTGGGTCAAATGGTATTTCTAGTTCTAGATCCCTGAGGAATCGCCACACTGACTTCCACAATGGTTGAACTAGTTTACAGTCCCACCAACAGTGTAAAAGTGTTCCTATTTCTCCACATCCTCTCCAGCACCTGTTGTTTCCTGACTTTTTAATGATTGCCATTCTAACTGGTGTGAGATGGTATCTCATTGTGGTTTTGATTTGCATTTCTCTGATGGCCAGTGATGGTGAGCATTTTTTCATGTGTTTTTTGGCTGCATAAATGTCTTCTTTTGAGAAGTGTCTGTTCATGTCCTTCGCCCACTTTTTGATGGGGTTGTTTGTTTTTTTCTTGTAAATTTGTTTGAGTTCATTGTAGATTCTGGATATTAGCCCTTTGTCAGATGAGTAGGTTGCGAAAATTTTCTCCCATTTTGTAGGTTGCCTGTTCACTCTGATGGTAGTTTCTTTTGCTGTGCAGAAGCTCTTTAGTTTAATTAGATCCCATTTGTCAATTTTGTCTTTTGTTGCCATTGCTTTTGGTGTTTTAGACATGAAGTCCTTGCCCAAAAGTCTCAGGATACAAAATCAATGTACAAAAATCACAAGCATTCTTATACACCAACAACAGAAAAACAGAGAGCCAAATCATGAGTCAACTCCCATTCACAATTGCTTCAAACAGAATAAATACCTAGGAATCCAACTTACAAGGGATGTGAAGGACCTTTTCAAGGAGAACTACAAACCACTGCTCAAGGAAATAAAAGAGGATACAAACAAATGGAAGAACATTCCATGCTCATGGGTAGGTAGAATCAATATCGTGAAAATGGCCATACTGCCCAAGGTAATTTATAGATTCAGTGCCATCCCCCATCAAGCTACCAACGACTTTCTTCACAGAATTGGAAAAAACTACTTTAAAGTTCATATGGAACCAAAAAAGAGCCCCCATCGCCAAGTCAATCCTAAGCCAAAAGAACAAAGCTGGAGGCATCACACTACCTGACTTCAAACTATACTACAAGGCTACAGTAACCAAAACAGCATGGTACTGGTACCAAAACAGAGATATAGATCAATGGAACAGAACAGAGCCCTCAGAAATAACGCCACATATCTACAACTATCTGATCTTTGACAAACCTGAGAAAAACAAGCAATGGGGAAAGGATTCTCTATTTAATAAATGGTGCTGGGAAAACTGGCTAGCCATATGTAGAAAGCTGAAACTGGATCCCTTCCTTACACCTTATACAAAAATCAATTCAAGATGGATTAAAGACTTAAACGTTAGACCTAAAACCATGACTGTTTTATTTTATCTCATTTCTTTCTTTCTTTCTTTCTTTCTTTTTAGATGGAGTCTCACTGTGTTGCCCAGGCTGGAGTGCAGTGGTGTGATCTCAGCTCACTGCAACCTCTGCCTCCCAGGTTCAAGCGATTCTCCTGCCTTAGCCTCCCAAGTAGCTGGGATTACAGGCATGTACCATCACACCCAACTAATTTTTGTATTTTTAGTAGAGACAGGGTTTCACCATGTTTCTGGTTTCAAACTCCTGACCTCAAGTGATCTGCCCGCCTCAGCCTCCCAAGTGCTGGGACTACAGGCATGAACCACTGTGCCCAGCCTTTTCTCCCATTTCATTAGTTGTCTCCTTTTTCTGCTGATTTTTCCCTTTGCCATGCTGAAACTTTTTAGTTTTATGTAATTCCATTTATCTATTTTTGCTTTTGTTGTTTGTGTTTTGGGGGTCATATCCAAAAACTCATTGACCAGATCAATGTCATGGAGATTTTCTCCTATGTTTTAATCTAGTAGTTCTAGAGTTTTAGGTCTTATGTTTAAGTCTTTAATCCATTTGAGGTAATTTTTATATACAGTGTGGGATGAGGGTCTCTCCCCAGATTTGGGAAGTTTTCAGCCATAATTTCTTACAGGAAACTTTTTGCCCCATTCTCTCCCTCTTTTCCTTTTGGAACTCCCCTAATACAAAGTTAGCTCTCTTGAAGTGTTCCACATAGCCCAAAGACTTCTTCATTTTTTTATTCTTTTCCTTTTTTCTCCTCTGATAATTTCAAATGACCTGTCTGATTTTCCTGATTTTTTCTTCCTCTTGAGTGAGTCCGCTGTTGAAGAACTCTATTGCATTTTTTAATTCAGTTATTGTATTTTTAGCTCAAAATTTGTTTCTTTTAGTGTTTTCCTATCTCTTGAATTCTTATTTTTTTATTTTTTTCCTTATTTTGTTAAATTGTTTATCTGTATTCTTTTCTAGTCCCTGAATTTCATTAGAACAATTATTTCAAATTCTTTTTCAGTCAACTTGTGGATCTCCATTTTTTTGAGGACAATTACTGGAAGTTTATTGTGTTCTTTTGGTGGCGTCATGTTTTCCTGATTCTCTGTGATTCTTGTAACTTTGTGTAGGTGTCTATGCATTTGAAGAAGCAGTCATCCCCTCCAAAATTCATGAACTGACTTTTAAAAGTAAAGACCTTCACCTGCAGGGGGCTAGACCTACTGGAATGAATGAGGTACCAAATGAAGGGGCATATGGTGACTTTGGGTCTCAGTGTGTATTGTGTCTGATTGACTCATATAGCTGGGGTTGGCAACCTCGGTAACTATGTGGTCCTTGGTGATGAGAGCTGAAGAAGGGCCATGGTCACTGTGAGGTGCTCCTTCAAGTTGGTGAAGTTTCACTCCCTACCAAACATGAAAAAGACAAAAGTGGTAGAAAAGGGCCCAAAGCAGGAGTGTGACATTGCAGAATACAAAACAGACAGTGGTTCAAGATGGGAGAGGGTAGGTACTGTTGATAGTTCATTATTTTGTTTTTGTTTTTGTTGTTGTTTTGTTTTTCACTATCTTTAGTCACTAGATATACTTTATTATTTTTAAATTTTGAGTGTGTATTAAAAAGTATAAGCAGTCTTTATTCCTGTGTATTTATTAAGACTGTTTTATGGTAAGTTCTGCAAAAGCAGAACCTTACCAATTCAAATGCGTGTGATTTAGTAAAAGAGTGATCTCAGGAGAAAACTAAGAGTGAGAGAGAAGCAGGACAAAGCATGGGAATATGCCAGAGAAAGGTGTGGAGTCAGCTGAAAGTAGCTTCAGTCTGATTCCCCAGGAAGTACTGGAGCATGATTGGCACTTTGGAGTGGTTCTAGCTTGCAACAATAGGACATTTCTGCCATTGTTTTAAAATCACCATAGCATTCCATTTTTGGCTATGGGCCACCCTGGGTGTGAGGGCATGCACTCCCATCTATTTCCAGTCACTTATCTTCCTTTTGGCTAAGAGCAATTCTCAAAAGAGAGGTTTATATATGTTAGAAGCTGGCTCTCGAAGAAGCTTGGGGATGTATTTACTGCTCTGGTAAGGGAGATCCAGGAAAGTCAGTAAAATGTCTGCTTAGTTTCAACAAGTCTTATTTATTATGTACAGCTACCTACACTGTTACACTGACTCTGTTAGTATTGATATTCTGGTACCCAATGCAAGTTACCCAAAGTAAGTGCCTCCCGTTATAGAATTCCTTCTTAATGACAACAATTTCTGTCTCAGTTTTTATACATTATGCAAGCTAGGGGTTTCTTGGATGATGTGGCATTTGTTCTGAACCTTGAAGAATGAGCAAGATTTCGGTTGGGTAAAATCAAGAACAGAGATTTTTCAGACAGAAGGAACAGAAAACAGAATGAGGAAAATGCAGAATTTGATTAGAATATAGTGCATTGGTTTGCCTGAAGTATTGAGAGGATGAGAACAGATATTGGAGACAAGACTTGATAATACATTAGGTAGAAGATTGTTACAGATGGCAAAGACCCTGAGGGACAATCTGATGACAGGGGCAATTCGAAGCCACCTGTGAATATTACAGATGGCAGTGCAGTAACTGGAGGTTTGGATAATAGTGGATATTCCTTTTCAGCAAGGTCTTCTACAGCAAAGTTGTCCCATGAGAAAAAAAAATCACAGTGATCATACTGTGTGTTTGTTTTCTTCTTGCCTTCCTTCTTTTGTTTCCCCAGGCAATAGCGTCTAATGATGACCCATTCCCTTGCCCTGTGAATAAGGTTGAAAAGACCTGAAAGACCTCGCAAATTTTCAGAATCATAAAATAAATGCTATTGTGCAGGAAGTAAAATACGCCCAAAGGCATCCTCTACTTTCTAAGGTATATTTTTAACAAGTTGAATTTCAATCATTTCTACTGTTATTCAGAAGAACAGGAGCAAATATCATTGAAAAGCTCCTATGGTGTGTGAGGATTTAAGAAAACATATTTGTGAGCATCACAGAGTGATATAGAGGTCAAGACTTGTGGTATCTAAATCAGTAGTTGCAAGATAGTGGTCTCAGTGGTCCCAGGACTCTCATTAAAATCTTCATGGTTCTGAGCTCCATCTCCAAGAAATGAAGACAACACTACCTTTTATGTATAGGTGACTCTAAATTCAGAGGGGACTGATCATAGGCATTCAAGGGGAAAAGTTGCTTTAACACTTATCCTTGAATGATAAGTGAAATGACAGGAAGAACTGCAGAAAGCCGCACCTGAGTTGTGAGACTGTACATTATTCCTACAGCTTAAGTACTTCATGATTTTAAGAAACTGGAAGGTGATTCTCCTTCTTTAGAAGGTAGGAATTTTAGAGTTTGGGGTTTTTTTGTTTTACTTTTTACAATGTACATAATTTCATTCTATATGTTCTAATAATCAAGTATCTGTGGGTGTTTATAGCCTGTTAGAAATTGAAGTATTTTGAATATTCTACTATTCTTCAGTAGTATTGAAGAAACTATGAGCACAGACAGCTGGAAATTAAGAATGTTGTCTGTTTCTTATTGTTGGTAAAGACAGAACCCAGAAAACTGCATGAGGAGGGCTTTGAAGAACTAAAAACAGAGACCAGGATGGCAAACTCAAGGCAAAAGCCAGGTATAGAAAGAGGGTAAGACTTGGGCAAACCAAACAGAAAGGCTGACACAATGTTAGGGGCATCTTGTTCGCCAGAAGCTGCCAGGGTCATTGGGAAGGAAGCAGGTAATGTCATATGGACATACCTTTTGTCATTACTATACTTAAATAACGAGGAAAGCAGACTTTACCATCAACATATGTGAAAAGTATCACAAAAGTCAAATGCTCCCAACCAACATCACTGAGAAAGATTGCGCAAACTATACATATCCTGATAACCTGGAGATTTTCTCCTTGGAGATACTTGCCAATAACTTGTGGGTGTGTGTGTATGTGGAAATATATTCTTTGATAAAGCTCTCCTAGTGATTCTAATATGACCATTTATAAGTCAAGCATGATTTAATATTATAGTAAATAAGGGGAGTGTCTAGAATGTAAAAATGATAGTTTCTTTCTCCTAGGCTCTAAGAAACCACTGCTGAAGTTTTCAGAACTTGTTTGTTTGTTTTCGATGTTATTCAACGTTCATTAGTGCAATTAGGCAAGCATTTAGAAAGCACCTATTGCATTCACATTGCTAGGCGACAAGATACTTAAAATCCACTTAGAAAGCAGCCAACTATCTTTAGTGCATGTCTAAATAAAATAAATGCGAAAGAGCTCAAACAATGTATTGGGGAAGAATTAATAGATGAATTGAAGTAATAATCATGGAATAATCATGGAAGGCTTTCTGAAGAATATGAGATCCTATTTTATCCTATAGCCATTGAACTAACCTTAGTCAAAGCCAACATTGCGCTCAGCTTAGGCTGAAAGTTGGGGGAGACAAAATTTTACACAGGTCTTTGTCCTGTCTAGTATAGAAGCCAAGCTTGTAAAAAATGTCTTATTACAATAAAATGGTATCTGAATCTAAAAGGTGAATAACATAGCTAGGCTAATTTAGAGAGTCTTCTGAGAAGTGATAAATTTTCATTTTGAGAAAGCTATGTTTTTAGGAGGCAGACAAGGGCAGGAAAGACATTGCAACTTAGAGAAAATAACATGGATATAGTAGATGAGCCCCAAAAGGACATGCTGTATTTGGGAAATAGTGGGATGTTTCTTTTGTAGGAGAAGTTGGCGGTAGGAAATGAGGATAGACAGGTAAGATCGTGAAGCCATGCTAGGTGGAATTCCCCTTTGAATCAACTAGCTAAACATGTAGTCCTCTAGACTCTCACTGCCTTGCTGTAAATATGTCACGCACGTACATTACCACCTATCTCACTTTTGGCAAATCAGGTACCTCTCTGAGCCACAATTTCCTAATTGCAAATAAGGTCATTGTAATAGTACTTATATGTTAGGGTAGCTATGAGTATATACAAGACTGTGTAACCAAAACATATAATAAAGAGTATAGGTTATTAGTATCATCTAGCTTGTAGGCAAAAGGGATCCAAAAGACATCTATAATGAGGAGACATAGCATGGTCACAGGTGTGACATAAATAAGCTGGCAGTAGGTGAAGGATAGAACTGGGAGAAGGAGATACCATGCTCACCCTATGGGACAGATACAGGGCAACAGCAGAGGGGCTAAAAAGAAGGTTAAGATGTTGGAAAACAGATATCTGGAATTTTGGAAGTAACTCATTGGGGTAAAAGATGTGGAAGGAATAAGAAATGCAACCTAATGGTAACTCTCCAATGTCTGTAAATAACTCAAATAGGAAACACAGGAGGAAAACCCGATATGTAAGGGAATATGGCCAATTTTGCTCTAAACATCTGTATTCAATACTTGGAGGACATTCTGGAATTGGAGATGTCCCAGAAGAAATTGGAGATCCTTTTTTGACAGAGGCTGAAATTGGAGATCCTTTTTTGACAGAGGCTGAAATTGGAGAGTCATACAAAGTAAGTGGTTCTGAAACAATAAAAATGGGAAAGATTTTCCTTTAGAGGTAAATCATCTGAGAAACCTTCAGAGGAAAGAGTCTGTGGAGGAGTAAACTAAAAAATAAACAATATGAGTCTTGGTTGAAGAATGCTTGGGTATATTTGTTTTCCACCTAAGGGTCTTTGTGTTATCTGTGCTTTGTACCTGCAGTATTCTCCCCCTGATCATCATATATTGTTTACATATTGTCACTCTATTCTCCATTTAAGTGTTTCACCTCCTCAGAGAGGGCTTTCAAATTCCACAAACGACAGTAGTTATGCACTCTCACATCACAGAAATCCTACATGTCTGGTTCCATGTTGTGCTTCCTATGCATACAACTGCTGGACACATTATTGGCATCTAGTCAATATATATGGAATAAATTCATGGCCTTTGATAGTCGTGTAACCACTCCCTACCTTGCTTTCACATTTTGTAAAATGAAAACAAAAATTCTTCACATAGCCTTGTAAGAATTACATGAGACAGTTTTGTCTAATCCTAGCATATTGTCTAATACATTATTGGCATTGAGTAGGTGCTGGTTACCTGCCCTGACTCTTCTTGTATTCTTTGCCTGTAAATGCAATGCACATAGAAGACAACTCCTCAACTAACAATACAATTGTTTTGTCTTATTTTGTCATTAGTCTTGATGAATCTTTCAAAATAATTTCAGCCAGTATTTCTTTTTTCTCTCCCAGCCCTTCATTCTCATACCTGCTTCCTCATTTCTTTCCCTCCACCTTTAACCGTGACTGAAATTAAAATAAAAATTCTATGAAGAGTCTTCATATCACTTTTCTGCCCTCATCTCCTAAGCAGATTATATGTTGAACAATCAAAATAGAAATATTACTGGCAAAATTTATCTGAGGAACTTGATTTAGTTCTTTTCAGGCTTGTTGCAAAGCAAACTACCTAAGTACATTAGCTGGCAAATGTTCTGGAGGTTCTGCTAAAAACACAAAAATTGATCAGAATATGACATTCTGGAATGAGTCAGTATCTTCAAAATTATATTAAATCTAAGTTAGTCCATTATATTATATTAGACACTTCAAAAAATGTTCAAAGAACTTCAAAGAGATGTTAAGAACTTAAAAATTAATGGTATGTCTTAAGAACTATTGTAATAAAAAAAATTGATATTGCATGTCTCAAGCTTTAATTATTACCACATATAGAAACCCAGAAGATAAAACATGTTAAATTGATTTGTCTGCTCTAGTTGTTGACATAAATGTCACCCTCAGAACCACTACACTTTGGGGAGCACTGATGAAGATAGGATTGCATTGAAAGAAACGCGAATGTTCTTTTGGAAATATTTACTGATCTCTCAGAATTTTCTAAGTGTTTTATTAATTTTAAATGATGGAATTATTTTATTCATTCAATCAACAGTTTATTTTAAGCGCCCATGAGTGCTAGGGTACCGCTAAATCACAAAAAGCATTTGATAAATATAGCATCTCAAAATCCAGTAGGTGAGATCAAAAAACTTTCATTCATATTTTGTGTCTTCCTTGCAGATCCAGAATGGAGAAAAGAGAGATAAACAGTGCTTTTGGGGTAAAATCCAGGTATAGGTATTTGGGCCCACTCTATGTCATCTATACATATTATCATATTAGAATCATTCTTCTCTTCACTCAGGCTCCTGACCTTGACCTCTTTCCAGGTGCATTTAACTCCCTTTCCTCAGGTTCTCTAAGAGTTGCCTGACACTTGCCCAGGTCCCCTGAATAAAATACAGGTAAATCAGTGCATAAGAAGCTTTATACAGTGATCTCAGACTTGTGACCAAGAGCCCCTCTGCACCATTGATAGACAGTGGCCGTGCCCACCAGGAGGATGGGCAATCACACTGCAGTGAGCCTATTCCTTCTGTGGGGATTTTCCAGTTTTTCAGACCTGCAGAGTCTACTTTTTGTGGTGATTCTCTTCTACATGTGACCATCCTAGCTGCAAACGTGTCCATAATGGGGGCCATCAAGCTCAGCCACAACCTTCACACTCCTATGTACTTTTTCCTCTGTGGCCTGTCCTTTTCAGAAACTTGTACCACTGTGGTAGTAATCCCTCGCATGTTGGTGGACTTTCTATCAGAGAGCAAGACCATTTCTCTTCCTGAGTGTGCCACACAGATGTTTTTCTTTCTGGGCTTTGCATCCAACAACTGTTTCATCATGGCCGCTATGTCCTACGACCGCTACACGGCCATCCACAACCCACTGCAGTACCACACCCTTATGACAAGAAAGATCTGCTTGCAGATGATGATGGCTTCTTGGATGGTTGGGTTCCTGTTTTCTCTGTGCATCATCGTCACTGTATTCAACTTGTCTCTTTGCGACTTGAACACTATCCAGCACTATTTCTGTGATATCTCACCAGTGGTCTCCCTTGCTTGTAATTACACTTTCTATCATGAAATGGCTATTTTTGTGCTCTCTGCCTTTGTGTTGGTGGGCAGCTGTATTTTAATTATGATTTCCTATGTCTTCATTGTGTTCATAGTCATAAAGATGCCCTCTGCAAAGGGGAGGTCTAAGGCCTTCTCAACTTGCTCCTCCCACCTCACTGTTGTGTCCATACACTATGGATTTGCTTGCTTTGTCTATTTGAGGCCCAAGAACAGCAACTCCTTCGATGAAGACATGCTGACGGCCATGATATATACAATACTGATGCCTCTGCTTAACCCCATCGTGTACAGTCTGAGAAACAAAGAAATGCAGATAGCCCTAAGAAAAACACTAGGCAGTGTATTTGGGGTTTTCCCTCAGAAGACAAAAAAAGAGCCTGAACATTTAAAAAAATTACACAGCATTGATAAATAAAGGTGAGAAAAGTGGAGTACTTCTAATTAATATCACTTTGTGCACAAAGTGGTTAAAGTATTGTCTAATTTCCTGATATGTCCTGGCCTCACCATTTTCCTACTACAGAGAGGATGCAGTTTTAAAATGTTTTTAAATGTTATGTGTGTGTGTTTATGTGTGTGTGCATGTGTGTATGTACACATATCCATTCAGGGTACATATTGCTTTAGAACACTGTATTTTAATGATAGCAGTTGCTTTTTGGGAAGAAAGAAAATTATGATACTAAAGACAGAAAGACAGCAAGGAAGAGAGAGAGAATGTAAGGAAGGGAGGAAGGAAGGAAGGGAGGAAGGTAGGAAGGGAGGGAGGGAGGAAAGGAGGAAGGGAGGAAGGGAAGAAGGAAAAGAAAAAAATCGAGTTGACTAGTATAATTAATCCGAAAAGAGGGAGAAAGTACAAACACAAAAAGTTGAAAATGAAAATGAGGATGTGATTAAAATAGAGAAAATTAAAAGCAATTTAAGAGAATACTTTGTTCAAATTTATTCAAACAAATTTGAAAATTAGAAAAAAACATGAATGCATTTATGGAAAAAATAAGCTTACAAAATGACCCCAAAAGCAACAGACATTTTTTGACATACCAATTTCCATGGAAATTTTTGAGAAATCCGTCAAAGACATGTTTTCCTGTTCTCTCCCACAAAGCATTAGAGCAGATAGTTTAATAATTAATTTGTTTAAATACTCAAGGAACAAATAATTCAAATGCTATTTAAATTGATTTAGAGCATAAAAATAAACAGCTTCTAATTTATGAACCTCACAGTGGTGGAAAGTGCTATTACTGCTGACAGATCATGGCCCTGGTAGGGAAGTTCTGAAGTGAATTGTGGAAGATTAGATGATGTATGCTGGTGAAGGAATTTTGAGGCTACGTTGTTCACATGGTTATAGGGAGTGTGAAGCAATATATTATTCTGGGTTTGAATTATATTTTTCTAATGACAGATGACATCAAGGATCTTTTATATATTTATTAATCATTTGTATGTCTAATTTAGAGAAATACATATTCAAATTCTCTTCCCATTTTTAATTGGGGGATTTGTATTGAATTTAGATTGTTTAAATGATTCTGGATAACATCCTTGATCAGATATACTATGTGCAAATATTTCCTTCCATTCTGTAGGTTGTTTCTTCCCTTTCTTTATAGTTTCCTTTGAAGCAAAAAAGTTTTTAACTCTAATATGGTGGAATTTATCTTTCTTTTTTCTTTTTTTTTGCTCATGCTTTTGATGTCATAACTAAGAATCTATTGCTTAATCCAAGATCATGAAGAATTTCCCCTATGCTTTCTTCTAAGAGTTTTGTAGTATTAAATCTTACATTTAGGTCTTTGATCCACTTGAATTAACTTTTGTATGTGGGTTAAGATAAGGGTCCAACCTTATTCTTTTACATGGGGATATTCAAATGACCCAGCACCATTTATTGAAAGGATTATTCATTACCCCACTGAATATTCTTGACACCCTTATAGACAACCTGTTGACCATAGACACATGGGTTCATTTCTGACCTCAATTGTATTCCACTGATCTATATGCCTTTCCTTTTGCCAGTACACACTGTCTTGATTAGTGTTGCTTGTCGCTGTTGTGTGTTTTTGAGACAGGGTCTCACTCCATTGCCCAGGCTGGAGTGCAGTGGCACAATGGGTCACTGCAACCTCTGCCTCTCGGGTTCAAACAATTCGCCTGCCACAGCCTCCTGAGTAGCTGGGATTACAGGCACCTGCTACCATGCCTGGCTAATTTTTGTGTTTTTAGTCAAGATGGGGTTTCACCATGTTGGCCAGGCTGGTCTTGAACTCCTGACCTCAAGTGATCCACTCACCTTGGCCTCACAAAGTGCTGGGATTACAGGCATGAGCCACTGTGCCTGGCCTTGATTAGTGTTGTTTTATAGTAAGTATTAAAATTGGGAAGTGTGAATTCTTCAAGTTTGTTCTTGTTTTTCAAGATTGTTTTGGATATTTGGGGTCACTTGCATTTCTATATACATTTTATAATCTTGTCAATTTCTATAAAGAAACCATCTAGGACTTTGATAGGGATTTTGTCTAATCTACAGATAAATTTGGGGAGTATTTCCATCTTTATAATATTAAGACTTCCAATTCATAAGCATAGGACTTTTTCACTCATTAGGTTTTATTTCATTCCTATCAGCATTAAAAAATTGATATTACTGTAAATGGAATTGTGTTCTTAATTTCATTTTTAGATTTTGCATTGCTAGTGCAAGGAAATACCATTGACTTTTTATATTTATCCTATATCCTACAAGTTGTCTGGACTCATTTATTCATCCCTATAATTTTAATGGATTTCTATATTTTTTCTATATGTTTATGTTTTCTATATGTTTATGTTTTCTATATGTTTATGTTTTCTATGAAATCATGTCATCTGCAAATACAGTTTTACTTCTACTTTTTCAATCTGGATGCCTTTTATTTCTTGTTATTGCTAATTGCCTTACTTCCTCCACTGCAATGTTGACTAGAAGTGGCAAGAGCAGACATTCTTGTCTTGTTCCTCATATCTGGGAAAAGCATCTAGTCTTTGGCCGTTAAGTATGAAATTAGCTATGGGTCTATTCAGGATTTTGTCAGGTTTAAACTATCTCTGTTCACTGATTACATGATCTTGTAACCAGAAAACCCTAAAGATTCCTCCAAAAGACCCTAGACTTGATAAACAACTTCAGTAAAGTTTCAATACAAACTGATGTACAAAAATCAGCTGAATTTCTATATACCAATGACACTCAAGCTTAGAACCAAATCAAGAACTCAATCCCATTTACAATAGCCACAAAAGATTAAAATACCTAACAATACACCTAACCAAGGAGACAAAAGACCTCTACAAGGAGAACTACAAAACACTGATGAAGGAAATTGTAGGTGACATAAACAAATAAAAAAAATCCCATGCTCATGGATTGGAAGAACCAACATTAAAATGACCATGTTGCCCAAAGCAATCCTCAGGTTCAATGTAATTTTTATGAAATTGTCAGTGTAGTATTTCACAGAATTAGAAAAAATGCTAAAATTCATATGGGACAAAAAAAAAGCCCAAATAGCCAAATCAATACTAAGCAAAGTAATATAGCTGGAAGCATCCCATTACCTCACTTCAAAGTATACTACAAGGCTATAATAACCAAATCATCATGGTACAAAAATAGACCCATAGATCAGTGAAACAAAATAAAGAACCCATAAATAAAATCACACACATACAACCACCTGATCTTTGACAAAGTCAACAAAAATAAACAATGGGAAAAGTATACCTTAATCAATAAATGGTGCTGGGAAAAATGGCCAGCCATCTGCAGAAAGATGAAACTGGACCACTATTTCTCACTATATACAAAAATTAACTCAAGATGGATTAAATACTTAAATGTAAGACATGAAGCTGTAAAAACTCTAGAAGAAAACCTAGCAAAAACTCTTCTGGAAATTGGCCTTGGCAAAGAATTTGTAACTAAGACCACAAAAGAATATGCAACGAAAACAAAAATAGGCAAATGGGACTTAATTAAAGGGCTTCTGCACAGTAAAATAAATAATCAACAGGGTAAACAGACAACCTCAGGATGGGAGAAAATATATGCAAACTATGCATCTAACAAAGGGCTAATATCCAGAATCTGTAAGGAACTCAAATCAACAAGAAAAAAACAACTAGCCTCATTAAAAAGTGGGTGAAGGACATGAGCAGACATTCCTAAAAAGAAGACATACACATGGCCAACAAGCATATGAAAAAAGCATATGAAAAAGCATATGAAAAAATGCTCGACATCATTAATCATTAAAGAAATGCAAATCAAAAATACAATGAGACACTATCTCACTCTAGTCAGAATGGCTATAATTAAAAAGTCAAAAAATAACAGATGTTGATGAGGACGCAGAGAAGAAGGGAATGCTTATACACTGTTGATGAGGATGTAAGTTAGTAAAACTGCTAAGGGAAACAGCATGGAGATTTCTCAAAGAACTAAAAACAGAATTACCATTTGGCCCAGCAATCCCGTGACTGAGTATCTACCTAAAGGAAAATAAATCATTATAACAAAAGACCACTGAGCTTGTTTGTTTATTGCAGCACTATTCACAATAACAAAGTCATGGAATTAACCCAAGTGTCTATCAACAGTTGATTGGATTAAGAAAATGTGGTATGTATATACCATGGAATACTACCCAGCCATAAAAAATATGAAAGCACGTCTTTTGCAGCAACAAGAATGAACCTGGAGGACATTATTTTAAGTGAAATACCTCAGAAACAGAAAATCAAATAGTGCATATCCTTTATAAGTAGGAGCTAAACAAAGGGTACACACAGGCATATAGATGGAAATAATAGATACTGGGGACTCCAAAAGGTATTAGGTCTAAAAAATTATCTATTGGATACAATGTTCACTGTTTGGGTGACAAATTCACTAGAAGCCCAAACTTCACCATTATGCAATATACCCAGGTAACAAACCTGCACATGTACCCCCGAATCTAAAATAATTTTAAAAATTTTTTTAAAAGAGAGTAGGGTTGACCATACATATATCAGACTTTGGGTCAGAAACTGTTATAAGAATCAAAGGAGGTCCCTATATAATAATAAAAAGTCCAATGTATCAGGAAGATATAACAATTATAAATACATGCACACAACATCAGAGCACCTGAAATATAAATTAATACAATAACAGTAGAAGAAGACTTTAACAGCCACCTTCAATAATGGATAGAATATCTAGACAGAAAATCAACAAGGAGACAGGAGGCTTGAACAACACTATACACCAAATTTTCCTAACAGACATACAAAACATTCCAACCAACAGCATCGAAAATTCATATTTTTCTCAACTGCACATGAAACATGCTACAGGATTTATTTCATGTTTGGTCACAAAATAACTTTTAACAAATTTTAAAAGATTGATATCTTAACAAGTATCTTTTTGGATTACAATGAGATAAAACTAGAAATCAATAACAGAAGGAAAACTTAAAAATCCACACATATGAGGGAGGAGCCAAGATGGCCGAATAGGAACAGCTCCGGTCTACAGCTCCCAGCATGAGCAACGCAGAAGACGGGTGATTTCTGCATTTCCATCTGAGGTACCGGGTTCATCTCACTAGGGAGTGCCAGACAGTGGGCGCAGGCCAGTGGGCGCACGCACCGTGCGCGAGCCGAAGCAGGGCGAGGCATTGCCTCACCTGGGAAGCGCAAGGGGTCAGGGAGTTCCCTTTCCGAGTCAAAGAAAGGGGTGACGGACGCACCTGGAAAATCGGGTCACTCCTACCCGAATACTGCGCTTTTCTGACTGACTTAAAAAACGGCGCACCACGAGATTATATCCCACACCTGGCTCGGAGGGTCCTACGCCCACGGAGTCTCGCTGATTGCTAGCACAGCAGTCTGAGATCAAACTGCAAGGAGGCAGCAAGGCTGGGGGAGGGGCGCCCGCCATTGCCCAGGCTTGATTCACAGCTCAAGGAGGCCTGCCTGCCTCTGTAGGCTCCACCTCTGGGGGCAGGGCATAGACAAACAAAAAGACAGCAGTAACCTCTGCAGACTTAAATGTCCCTGTCTGACAGCTTTGAAGAGAGCAGTGGCTCTCCCAGCACGCAGCTGGAGATCTGAGAACCGGCAGACTGCCTCCTCAAATGGGTTCCTGACCCCTGACCCCCGAGCAGCCTAACTGGGAGGCACCCCCCAGCAGGAGCACACTGACACCTCACACTGCAGGGTATTCCAACAGAACTGCAGCTGAGGGTCCTGTCTGTTAGAAGGAAAACTAACAAACAGAAAGGACATCCACACCAAAAACCCATCTGTACATCACCATCATCAAAGACCAAAAGTAGATAAAACCACAAAGATGGGGAAAAAACAGAACAGAAAAACTGGAAACTCTAAAACACAGAGCGTCTCTCCTCCTCCAAAGGAACGCAGTTCCTCACCAGCAACGGAACAAAGCTGGATGGAGAATGACTTTGACGAGCTGAGAGAAGAAGGCTTCAGACGATCAAATTACTCTGAGCTACGGGAGGACATTCAAACCAAAGGCAAAGAAGTGGAAAACTTTGAAAAAAATTTAGAAGAATGTATAACTAGAATAACCAATACAGAGAAGTGCTTAAAGGAGCTGATGGAGCTGAAAACCAAGGCTCGAGAACTACGTGAAGAATGCAGAAGCCTCAGGAGCCGATGCGATCAACTGGAAGAAAGGGTATCAGCAATGGAAGATGAAATGAATGAAATGAAGCGAGAAGGGTAGTTTAGAGAAAAACGAATAAAAAGAATTGAGCAAAGCCTCCAAGAAATATGGGACTATGTGAAAAGACCAAATCTACGTCTGATTGGTGTACCTGAAAGTGATGGGGAGAATGGAACCAAGTTGGAAAACACTCTGCAGGATATTATCCAGGAGAACCTCCCCAATCTAGCAAGGCAGGCCAAAGTTCAGATTCAGGAAATACAGAGAACGCCACAAAGATACTCCTCGAGAAGAGCAACTCCAAGACACATAATTGTCAGATTCACCAAAGTTGAAACGAAGGAAAAAATGTTAAGGGCAGCCAGAGAGAAAGGTCGGGTTACCCTCAAAGGGAAGCCCATCAGACTAACAGCGGATCTCTCGGCAGAAACCCTACAAGCCAGAAGAGAGTGGGGGCCAATATTCAACATTCTTAAAGAATTTTCAACCCAGAATTTCATATCCAGCCAAACTAAGCTTCATAAGTGAAGGAGAAATAAAATACTTTACAGACAAGCAAATGCTGAGACATTTTGTCACCACCAGGCCTGCCCTAAAAGAGCTCCTGAAGGAAGCGCTAAACATGGAAAGGAACAACTGGTACCAGCCGCTGCAAAATCATGCCAAAATGTAAAGACCATCGAGACTAGGAAGAAACTGCATCAACTAACGAGCAAAATAACCAGCTAACATCATAATGACAGGATCAAATTCACACATAACAATATTAACTTTAAATGTAAATGGACTAAATGCTCCAATGAAAAGACACAGACTGGCAAATTGGATAAAGAGTCAAGACCCATCAGTGTGCTGTATTCAGGAAACCCATCTCACATTCAGAGACACACATAGGCTCAAAATAAAAGGATGGAGGAAGATCTACCAAGCAAATGGAAAACAAAAAAAGGCAGGGGTTGCAACCCTAGTCTCTGATAAAACAGACTTTAAACCAACAAAGATCAAAAGAGACAAAGAAGGCCATTACATAATGGTAAAGGGATCAATTCAACAAGAAGAACTAACTATCCTAAATATATATGCACCCAATACAGGAGCACCCAGATTCATAAAGCAAGTCCTGAGTGACCTACAAAGAGACTTAGACTCCCACGCATTAATAATGGGAGACTTTAACACCCCACCGTCAACATTAGACAGATCAACGAGACAGAAAGTCAACAAGGATACCCGGGAATTGAACTCAGCTCTGCACCAAGTGGACCTAATAGACATCTACAGAACTCTCCACCCCAAATCAACAGAATATACATATTTTTCAGCACCACACCACACCTATTCCAAAATTGACCACATAGTTGGAAGTAAAGCTCTCCTCAGCAAATGTAAAAGAACAGAAATTATAACAAACTATCTCTCAGACCACAGTGCAATCAAACTAGAACTCAGGATTAAGAATCTCACTCAAAGCCGCTCAACTACATGGAAACTGAACAACCTGCTCCTGAATGACTGACTACTTGGTACATAACGAAATGAAGGCAGAAATAAAGATGTTCTTTGAAACCAACGAGAACAAAGACACAACATACCAGAATCTCTGGGACGCATTCAAAGCAGTGTGTAGAGGGAAATTTATAGCACTAAATGCCCACAAGAGAAAGCAGGAAAGATCCAAAATTGACACCCTAACATCACAATTAAAAGAACTAGAAAAGCAAGAGCAAACATATTCAAAAGCTAGCAGAAGGCAAGAAATAACTAAAATCAGAGCAGAACTGAAGGAAATAGATACACAGAAAACCCTTCAAAAAATCAATGAATCCAGGAGCTGGTTTTTTGAAAGGATCAACAAAATTGATAGACCGCTAGCAAGACTAATAAAGAAAAAAAGAGAGAAGAATCAAATAGACACAATAAAAAATGATAAAGGGGATATCACCACCGATCCCACAGAAATACAAACTACCATCAGAGAATACTACAAATACCTCTACGCAAATAAACTAGAAAATCTAGAAGAAATGGATAAATTCCTCGACACATACACTCTCCCAAGACTAAACCAGGAAGAAGTTGCATCTCTGAATAGACCAATAACAGGAGCTGAAATTGTGGCAATAATCAATAGTTTACCAACCAAAAAGAGTCCAGGACCAGATGGATTCACAGCCGAATTCTACCAGAGGTACAAGGAAGAACTGGTACCATTCCTTCTGAAACTATTCCAATCAATAGAAAAAGGGGGAATCCTCCCTAACTCATTTTATGAGGCCAGCATCATTCTGATACCAAAGCTGGGCAGAGACACAACCAAAAAAGAGAATTTTAGACCAATATCCTTGATGAACATTGATGCAAAAATCCTCAATAAAATACTGGCAAACCGAATCCAGCAGCACATCAAAAAGCTTATCCACCATGATCAAGTGGGCTTCATCCCTGGGATGCAAGGCTGGTTCAATATACGCAAATCAATAAATGTAATCCAGCATATAAACAGAGCCAAAGACAAAAACCACATGATTATCTCAATAGATGCAGAAAAAGCCTTTGACAAAATTCAACAACCCTTCATGCTAAAACCTCTCAATAAATTAGGTATTGATGGGACGTATTTCAAAATAATAAGAGCTATCTATGACAAACCCACAGCCAATATCATACTGAATTGGCAAAAACTGGAAGCATTCCCTTTGAAAACTGGCACAAGACAGGGATGCCCTCTCTCACCACTCCTATTCAACATACTGTTGGAAGTTCTGGCCATGGCAATTAGGAAAGAGAAGGAAATAAAGGGTATCCAATTAGGAAAAGAGGAAGTCAAATTGTCCCTGTTTGCAGATGACATGATTGTATATCTAGAAAACCCCATTGTCTCAGCCCAAAATCTCCTTCAGCTGATAAGCAACTTCAGCAAAGTCTCAGGATACAAAATCAATGTACAAAAGTCACAAGCATTCTTATACACCAACAACAGACAAACAGAGAGCCAAATCATGAGTGAACTCCCATTCACAATTGCTTCAAAGAGAATAAAATACCTAGGAATCCAACTTACAAGGGATGTGAAGGACCTCTTCAAGAACTACAAACCACTGCTCAAGGAAATAAAAGAGGATACAAACAAATGGAAGAACATTCCATGCTCATGGGTAGGAAGAATCAATATCGTCAAAATGGCCATACTGCCCAAGGTAATTTACAGATTCAATGCCATCCCCATCAAGCTACCAATGACTTTCTTCACAGAATTGGAAAAAACTACTTTAAAGTTCATATGGAACCAAAAAAGAGCCCGCATCACCAAGTCAATCCTAAGCCAAAAGAACAAAGCTGGAGGCATCACGCTACCTGACTTCAAACTATACTACAAGGCTACAGTAACCAAAACAGCATGGTACTGGTACCAAAACAGAGATACAGATCAATGGAACAGAACAGAGCCCTCAGAAATAATGCCGCATACCTACAACTATCTGATCTTTGACAAACCTGAGAAAAACAAGCAATGGGGAAAGGATTCCCTATTTAATAAATGGTGTTGGGAAAACTGGCTAGCCATATGTAGGAAGCTGAAACTGGATCCCTTCCTTACACCTTATACAAAAATCAATTCAAGATGGATTAAAGATTTAAACGTTATACCTAAAACCATAAAAACCCTAGAAGAAAACCTAGGCATTACCATTCAGGACATAGGCATGGGCAAGGACTTCATGTCCAAAACACCAAAAGCAATGGCAACAAAAGACAAAATTGACAAATGGGATCTAATTAAACTAAAGAGCTTCTGCACAGCAAAAGAAACTACCATCAGAGTGAACAGGCAACCTACAAAATGGGAGAAAATTTTCGCAACCTACTCATCTGACAAAGGGCTAATATCCAGAATCTACAATGAACTCAAACAAATTTACAAGAAAAAAACAAACAACCCCATCAAAAAGTGGGCGAAGGACATGAACAGACACTTCTCAAAAGAAGACATTTATGCAGCCAAAAAACACATGAAAAAATGGTCATCATCACTGGCCATCAGAGAAATGCAAATCAAAACCACAATGAGATACCATCTCACACCAGTTAGAATGGCAATCATTAAAAAGTCAGGAAACAACAGGTGCTGGAGAGGATGTGGAGAAATAGGAACACTTTTACACTGTTGGTGGGACTGTAAACTAGTTCATCCATTGTGGAAGTCAGTGTGGCAATTCCTCAGGGATCTAGAACTAGAAATACCATTTGACCCAGCCATCCCATTACTGGGTATATACCCAAATGACTATAAATCATGCTGCTATAAAGACACATGCACACGTATGTTTATTGCGGCATTATTCACAATAGCAAAGACTTGGAACCAACCCAAATGTCCAACAATGATAGACTGGATTAAGAAAATGTGGCACATATACACCATGGAATACTATGCAGCCATAAAAAATGATGAGTTCATGTCCTTTGTAGGGACATGGATGAAATTGGAAATCATCATTCTCAGTAAACTATCGCAAGAACAAAAAACCAAACACCGCATATTCTCACTCATAGGTGGGAATTGAACAATGAGATCACATGGACACAGGAAGGGGAATATCACACTCTGGGGACTGTGGTGGGGTGGGGGGAGGGGGGAGGGATAGCATTGGGAGATATACCTAATGCTAGATGACAAGTTAGTGGGTGCAGCGCACCAGCATGGCACATGTATACATATGTAACTAACCTGCACAATGTGCACATGCTCTCTAAAACTTAAAGTATAATAAAAAAAAAAAAGAAAATACAAAAAAAAAATCCACACATATATGGAGATTAAATAGCACACTCCTGAATAACCAGTGGGTCAAAGAAGAAATCAAAAAGACAAATAAAAATTATCTTGAGACAAATGAAGACAAAACAGAATGTAGAAACTCTTGTAGGATGCAGCCAAAACAGTACTAAAAGGCAATTTTACAGAGACAAAGAAGATCTGGATTAACTTAGCTTTACACCTCAAGGAAATAGAAAAAGAAAAACAAATTAGGCCCACAGTTAGCAAAAGGAAGAAAATGACAAAGATTGGAGCGAAATATATGAAATAGAAAAAAGGAAAAAATCAACAAAACTAATAATTGGTTTTTAAAAAGGTAGACAGAACTGACAAACCTTTAGCTACACTAAGAAAAGAATGAAGGAAGTTTCAAATGAGTAAGATTAGAAATAAGGAGAAAACATTATAACTGATTCCACAGAAATAAAACAGATCCTAAGAGACTACTTTTAACACCAACTATACAATTTGCCCAAACTGAATATAAATAAGCAGAAAATCTGAATTAGTCAATAAGTAAGAAGATTACACAGTAATCAGAAACTTCCCAACCAATAAAATACCTGGGCTTTACCAAATATTTAGAGAAGAATTAACACCAATCCTTCTCAAACTCTTCTGAAAATTGAAGAGTGAATACTTCCAAATTCATTTTATGAGGTCAGCATTATCCTGATTCCAGAGCCAGACAAAAACACTGCAAGAAAATATAATTACATTCCAATGTCCCTGATGAACATAGATGCAAATATTCTCAACAAATTCCTAGCAAACTAAATTCAACAACACATTAAAAAAAAAAAGAAAGAAAAGAAAAAAAGAATTCTGGCCGGGCACAGTGACTCATGCCTGTAATCCCAGCACTTTGGAAGGCCGAGGCAGGTGGATGATTTGAGATCAGAAGTTACAGACCAGCCTGGCCAACATGGTGAAACCCCGTCTCTACTAAAAATACAAAAATTAGCTGGGTGTGGTGGCGGGCACCTGTAATCCCAGCTACTTGGGAGGCTGAGGCAAGAGAATTTCTTGAACCAGGGAGGTGGGGGTTGCAGTGAGCTGAGATCGTGCCACTGCATTCTGGCCTGGGCAACAAGAATGAAACTCTGTCTCAAAAAAAAAAAAAAAGAAATTCTATGCCATAAACAAATAGAATTTATCCCTGGCATTCAAGGCTGATTCAAAATATACAAATTGATCAATGTGATACAGCAATGTGACACAGAATAAAGCATAAAAAAAAAAACAAGTTGGGCACGTTGGCTCACACCTATGATCCCAGCACTTTGAGAATCTGAGGCAGGCAGATTGCTTGAGTCCAGAATTCAAGACCAGCCTGGGCAACATAGTGAGATCCCCCCATTTCTAGAAAAATAAAAAAATTAGTTGGGCATGGTGGCACATGCCTGTAGTCCCAGTGACTTGGGAGGCTAAGGTGGGAGGATTGCTTGAGACCAGGAGGTCGAGGCTGCAGTGACCAGTGATGGTGCCATTGCATTCAGCCTAGGGGAGAGAGTGAGACCCTGTCTCAGAAAAACAAAAAACAACAACAAAAAAACCCCAAATGAATTAAAAAGGAATCATCTCAATAGATGCGGAAAAATCATTTAACAAAATTCAACACACTTTCATGAGAAAAACTCTCAACAAATTAGCTATGGAAAAAATTTACTTCAAAGTAGTGAAGGCCATATATTATAAACTCACAACTAATATCATACTAAATGGTGAAAAACTAAAAGCATTTTCTCTAAGATTAGGAACAAGGCAAGGATGTCCATTTTTACCAGTTTTACTCAACATAGTACTGGAAATACTGAGGAATGAAGGAAGAAAAGAAATAAAGCTGTTAAAATATAAAAGGAAGGAGTAAAATTATCTCTGTAAGCCTATGACATGATCTTGTATGTAGAAGACCATTAAGATTCAACCAAAAAGCCATCAGAACTGACAAATGAATTCATTAAATTTGCAGAACACAAAATCATCACATAAATTCAATTGCTTTTCTAGACACTAACAATGAACTATCAGAAAAAGAAATTAGGAAAATAATCCCATTTCCAAAAACATCAAAAAGAGTGAAATACATAGGTTTAAATTTAACTAAGAAAGTGAAAAACTTGTAGACTGAAAATGCAAAACATTGATGAATGAAATTTTAGATGACAAAAACAAATGAAAAGACATCTTGTGTTCATGAATTGGAAGTCTTAATATTGTTAAAAATGTCCATCCTACACAAAATGATTTACATATTTAAGGCAATCCCTATCAAAATCCCAATGGAATTCTTCACAGAAATTGAAAAATTTGTCCCAAAGTTCATATGGAACCATAAAAGACCCCAAACAGCCAAAACAATCTTCAGAAAGAAGGACAAAGCTGGAGGCATCACACTTCATGATTTCAAAATACAAAGCTACAGTAATTAAAATGGTATGATACTGGCATAAAGACAGACAGAAACCAAAAGAATAGATAGGAATTCCAGATATAAACTCAGGCATATATGCTCAAATGATCTTTGTGCAGAGTGCCATGACTAGCCAATAGAGGGGAAAAAAACTCTTCAACAAATGATGCTGATAAAACTGAAAAGCTACATGCAAAATAATAAAATTAGATCCATATATGTTTGAGCTGTTAGATCCCCTTGATGTGGAGGGGCTGACGTACGGGCTCTTCAAGGACAAGACCAAAGGAACTTGGCCTTCAACCTAGAGAATATTCTGTTATGTAGCCATAGTTCAGGAACACCATGAGAGTCAGTTGTGCCATGGCAACCTCCCAGTCAATGTGGCAGCTGTGTGTGACAGGGTCACAAAAAATTTTAGTGTAAGCATCATTGTTCTATTGGAAAGCATACATATTAGTGGATTAAAGTGGGCAATGAGGAAAGGGAAGAATGTGTGTGAGAGAAATATGTGCCACCACCAAGTATCAAGTGTCCTAGAACAAGTCTATGAGATGTGGAAAGCACAAATAATTTTTAAAAAGTGTATGCTACTCATCATGCTGAAAATAATATTGCAATTCTATTCTATACACGTTTGTAAACTAAACTGGCAAACCCAGATGATTTCTAAACATAAGTGACCTTAAAACTTGGGCCACTGAATACAGCCACATTTCAGAAGTGCCACAGATTGCTGCAACCATATTAATCATGTTGATCTGAAGTGCAACTTCAATAATAGTAAAATGTTATAATTTCTTTTTTTCAAATCACTGAATTTAAAAATGCATGGAATGCTTGGGTGTGTAGAAAATACTTCATTCATAAGCCTTTATATGATCATGTGGGCAGGTTATTTCGCTGTCCCAATAGATGTGTACATATAATTTCTTTGCCCCAATGGATTCTCAATGTAATTTTCCAAAACAAGTGATTAATTTGTAATTACAGTTGAAGTAAATAATATCCCAAATGACCCAAACCTCACTTAAATATGGCCTTGATGTATGATAACAATTCCTTTGAGGCTATCCCCAGTGTTATAATAAATGTATCACGAGTTTATACTTATTTTTTAGGATTAAGGAATATTTGATTATTTTATCTGTACCAGAAACAGGTTGATTATTTCAAGCAAAAGTTTAGTAATTGAGCATCTACTTATTGTGTAAACAGTGCTTGGTGTTTTCCCACGTTGTATATTTTAACACAAGAATCATATGAAGTATGTATTATTATCTTTTTATAGGTAAGGAAACAGAAGATCATAAAGTTTTTGTAACCTGCCTGTGATTCCGTAGACTGTGAGAGGCAGAACTAAAAACTCTGATTCCAGGTTTGCATGGCTGCAAAGTCCATGGTGTCTCTGCAGGTCACTTTGTCTTCCATGCTGGCAACTGTACTCAACTTTAAAACATTTGTGTCTTTCATGCACTTATTTTCTTTAAAAATATTAAATTCATTATCTGGTTTGGGTGTTTGTACATATAAAAAAAGCCAGAATTTAATAATTCAGGCACACAATCCTAGTATTATTTCCACTAGACCATACTGTTGTCATGATTCTCATGTAATTTAGATTGAATGAAATTTGATAGAATGTGTTTGGGTAAGAGCATGGTTGCTGATATTTATGTATGTATGTTTTTTAAATTATTCTTCACATAGGCTTTCTTGAAAAAAAGCAAATTATTCTGAAGAATATGTTGGTCTTTAGATCAGAGTCATGGGAAAGAATGAATATGACTTCTCTATTCTCCCCTTTCCTTGATCATGTGCTGTATTGTGAACAAAGGGACCATCATTTTGAAATGCCAATTAATCTTCTTTTCGATATGACTTCCTACCTTTTCTATCTGGCTACTTCTTCCCCTACCTGTTTAACTTTCCCGTCCCCATCAAATACTCCCACACTTCTTATTTCTCTATAGGTGCCTGTTAGAACTGGTGGAACTAAGACGTACCTAAACATCCCCGAATAGTTCCATTCACTTTCCATTTAATCCTAGCCCATAATGATACCTAGGTTTTTCTTATTGCTTCACACAATCCCATATGTATGACAAGGTATGGTATAGGAGATAAGTCTTTGGATATTTTGCAAAATATCTAGGATGTTTAGCTTTTAACAATAATAAAAATTATTTGACCTCTTCATCTTAAATGTAGACATCATCTAGCTCTTGTTGTCAATTATTATAACTAAGGATGTTGTTTTTTTACTCTATGAAAAGGAGCAAGTCAGAAAGAAAGAGACGTCAAAATCAACTTTTAGGCCCAATTAATTGTGTAACTCGAGGCAGCATTTACTGAGATAGAGAGCACTGAGAAAGACATATTTGGGATGGGCATGGAAAATTAAGAGTTGACTTTTTTTTTTTTTTTGAGATGGTAGTCTCACTTTGTCCCCCCAGGCTGGAGTGCAGTGGCACGATCTCAGCTCACTGCAAACTCTGCCTCCCGGGTTCAAGCGATTCTCCTGCCTCAGCTGCCCGAGTTGCTGGGATTACAGGCACCCACCACCACACCTGGCTAATTTTGTGTTTTTAGTAGAGGTGGGGTTTCACCACGTTGACCAGGCTGGTCTCGAACTCCTGACCTCAAATGATCCACCCCCCCTCAGCCTCCCAAAGTGCTGGGATTACAGGCATGAGCCACTATGCCTGGTCTAGAGTTGACTTTTCTATGAACATTTATTAATATGTTAACAGTTTATGTTATTTTAATAAATGTTGTTGTAAACATTTTTATGTATCTCCTGTGCACATGGTGATTAGACTTACTCTAAAGTGTACAAATAGGGGTAAAATGGCTGGATCCCAAGAAAATTGAGTCTTCAGTTTTATTTTATGGAATCTGAAAGGAAAATTTGTGAGCAAAAAAACTCTATAAGGCAAAGTTACCATTTTAAAAATTGAATAAGATCACATTTAGGCATATACATTAACTGTGGGGTCATTTCAACCAACTTAATTTCCTCTGGTCTGGTTTTAATAGGCGCTGTTAAACGGATAGATGGAGACTGAAAACAATACAACAGTGACAGAGTTCATTATTTTGGGATTAACAGACAATCCTATGCTATGTGCCATTTTCTTCGTGTTTTTTCTAGCAGTTTATATAGTTACTATACCGGGAAATATTAGCATAATCCTCTTAATCCAAAGCAGCCCACAGCTTCACACGCTAATGTACCTTTTTCTCAGCCATTTGGCTTCTGTGGACATTGGGTATTCCATATCAGTTACGCCAATCATTCTCATCAATTTCTTAAGAGAGAAAACGACTATTCCTGTCACAGGCTGTATAGCACAGCTTGGCTCTGATGTCATGTTTGGAACCACAGAGTGCTTCCTGCTGGTCACTATGTGGCTATCTGCTCTCCCCTGCTTTACTCCATCCAAATGCCCCCAGTCGTCTGCTTCCTCCTACTGGGAGCCTCCTACCTGGGTGGATGCCTGAACGCTTCGTCTTTTACAGGCTGTTTGATGAACCTGTCCTTCTGCGGTCCAAATAAAATCAACCACTTTTTCTGTGACCTCTTCCCACTCTTGAAGCTTTCTTGTGGCCATGTTTACATTGCTGAAATATCCCCTGCCATCTCCTCTGCATCTGTCCTTATCAGCACGCTGTTTACCATAATCGTGTCCTACATCTACATCCTTCACTCCATCCTGAAGGTGTGCTCTACTGAGGGAAGGAAGAAGGCTTTCTCCACCTGCGCTTCCCACCTCACTGCAGTCACTTTGTTCTATGGGACCATTTTGTTTGTTTATGTGATGCCCAAGTCAAGCTATTCAGCGGATCAGGTCAAGGTGGCATTTGTGATCTACACGGTGGTGATTCCCATGCTGAACCCCCTCATCTACAGTCTCAGGAATAAGGAGGTGAAAGAGGCCATGAGAAAATTGATGGCAAGAACACATTGGTTTTCCTGAATTAAATCAGTATAATCCATAAATAACTAAACCAATGATTTCGGAGACATTTGTCCTTAATATTCTAATTATATTTATCATTGACTGTATCACTTATATAGTGAAGTGCTTGTATAAATATAGAAAGCCAATGCTTACTTCCATGTACAAAGTTAATTGTGTAATTTATATGGATATCTGCTGGAGTCGATTTTTTTTTTTTTTTTTTTTGAGATGGAGTTTCATTCTGTCACCCAGGCTGGAGTGCAGTGGCGCAATCTCATCTCAGCTCACTGTAACCTCCTCCTCCTGGGTTCAAGCGCTTCTCCTGCCTCAGCCTCCCTAGTAGCTGGGACTACAGGTGTGCACCACCACATCTGGCTAATTTTTGTACTTTTGGTAGACATGGCGTTTCACCATGTTGGGCAGGCTGGTCTTGAACTCCTGAGCTCAAGCAATTCACCCACCTTGGGCTTCCCAAAGTGCTAGGATTACAGCATGAACCACTGCACCCAGCCTGGAATCAAATTCAACATGGATTTGTCAAGGTAAGAATACCTCAGAAAAGAGCTTCTAATAAGATGTCCCCCAATCGCCAATTACAGAGTTCTAATTCAATAGAGACACAAAGAGACATATTTCAAAGATCAATTTTTTCTAAATCCCATCTTATAAAACGACATCTGGGAGAGGAATTTCCAATAGATGTGTAATCAGTGGTAATGTTGACAAGTCAGGCAGCTCAGGTTATTTTCTTTAAAGGTACTACTCTGCTGTGGTCCATGGATGTTTAAACTTTCCAAAATGGCAATGTGAGTGTCAAAAAGCTTCTATTTATTTTTCTTTTATGTAAGCCAGAGCAAAAATTATGATTCCTGTATTTGGCCATTAAGAGATACAAGGCACATAGCACAGAAGAAACTCTGAACAAATCTCAGCTAACTCTTTTTATAAATGAAGCCTTAACAGATGAGCAGTAGAGTTGGATTTTGAAAGCAGACATTTCTTTAGATAGTGAGACTTTCTTTGACCAATAGCTTATAGATAGAAGACATGAAATTATGATCCAGACAAAACATATATCTGCCCCATATTTTAACAGTGTCCCTCAAAAAGGTGTCCATCATCACTGTTTCTTCAACTGCCCTTTTTGTAGGGGCTCGTGACCCAGTCTGATTAAGGCAATTGTCTCTAAATTGATTCCCTGCCTCCAGTGCTTCTTCCACAACAATTTCTGATTAACATTTTAGTTAATATATTTGCATTATTAGCATAGTAATGATGTCATACAGATCCTGAGACACTAGGGAGGGACTATTCATTTTACAGTCTGACCTTCCATTTCTGGGTTCCTCACTGACCAGATCAAGGAAATCTTCTCTTCTTCTGTCTGGAAGCCATATTGTGCAATTTCTCTGTTCCTGTTTCCCTGTTTATACCTCTTTACTTGCATTAATTATAGGCCTATAATCCCCCCAATGCAATAATTCTGGGGTTAACATTAGCATAGACATGCCCCTTTCCAAAGAGAGGGCACTCAAAGGTGTGACTTCAGTCTGAGAAAGAGCCATCTTAGCATTATGGTGAGAACACTGAACTCTGGTGGTTGAAGGTTTTCATGGACTGTTTCTGGCCAGCCTCCTCTTCGTCTCACCCTCCGCACTTCACTCTTCACCAGGGTACATCCTCAGATCTCTGTCCTTATCGCCATTCCCCATGGAACCCAAGAGTGACCTCATTTTCTCCCATGGGGTCAGCTGTCCCCTATGTGGTTAACAGTATCCCTATCTCCAAATGCAACCTTCCTCGGAGGACAGATAGACTTCACTGGCCTTTTCCCTAAGACCCTCACACTCAGCGTGCTGTGACCAGATTTATCATATTTCTCCCAAAACTGTTTCTTCTCCTCTGTTTCTTTTCTTAATGTGGTCACCTCACAAATGTCACCTCTTTGTGAGGACTAGTACTCCAACAGACTTGGGGTGGCCCTCACTGTGTACCTGTCTAAATGGTCAGCCTCCCTACCTCCTTCTCCTTCTCTCAAAAGAAAGATAGGTCACATATTAATCTATCCTCATCTAAGTCTCTTTTGCCTGGAGGCTTAAGTGTTTCCCAACTGATTATGATAAGTCCATGCAGAAATTTGTCCTCTGTTCTTCAACTCTAAGGGGCTCAATTAATTCAATCACCCAGACATAGAGGGTATGGCTGCATCTGGAACTGTTACAGTCCTTTTGGGAGAGGATTGATATTTAAACTCATTTTCCCCTCCCAAGTTCTGAATCAACTGAAGAATGAAAAAAAAGAGAAAGTATATGTGAGAACAAAACATTGCCTGTAGAAATGAAAGAGTTGATATTAGAGAATGTGGTTTATGTTCATGGACACATATGTTTTTGTGTTCTGAATCCCAGAATTTGACACTCTTTCTTTCTGTCACTGAAAATATTGTCTCTGGGAAGACACTCAGGTCTTCCCAATGAGAGTCAGCCTTTACCCATCATCATACAGTATGTCCAAGGGCAGTCAAGAACATTGAGGCAAGGCTTTCTCCCAAGAGAAAGGAGGAAGAAGGGCTGGGATGCTGTTTGGGAGTGAATTGTGTTCCTCTCAAACTCATATATTGAGCTTTTAATCACCTGTATGTCGGAATGTGACTTTATTTTGGAATAGGTTTATTGTAGACATAATTTGTTAAGATGAAGCCATACTGGAGCAGGGTAGGCCCCTAATCCAATATGACTAATGTGCTTGTTGAAAGGGAAATTTTGGACTTACGCAACACATAGGGAGGACTGCATGTGAAGATAAAGACAGAGATCTGGGTGATGCTTTTACAAGCCAAGGAACACCAAAGATTGACAGAAAACCACCAGAAGCTAGGAAAAAGGCCTGGAACAGATTCTCCCTCACACCCTTCAGAAGAAACCAACCCTGTCAATACCTTGATCTTGGACTTCCAGCCTCCAGAACTATGAGAATAAATTGATGCTTTCTTATGGTAGCTCTAGAAAATGCATACAATTGCATATCTAGTTTTCCCCTAAAAATTCACCATCAGCTAATTTACTCCTTCCAGGGGAGGAGGGAGTGAAGGCTTGGAAAGATGCCAGGTGTGTTACACTAGGGGATGCCCCTCTGTGATGGCTAATATTGAGTGTCAACTTTATTGGATCAAAGGATGCAAAGTATTGTTCCTGGGTCTGTCTGTGTGGGTATTGTCAAAGGAGATTAACATTTGAGTCAGTGGACTGGGAGAGGCAGACCCACCCTCAATCTGGGTGGGCACCATCTAATTAGCTGTTAGTGCAGCTAGAATAAAGCAGGCAGCAGAAGATGGAAGAGCAGACTTTCTGAGTCTCCCGGCCTTCATCTTTCTCCCGTGCTGGATGCTTCCTGCCCTCAAACATCAAACTCCAAGTTCTTCAGCTTTTGGACTCTTTGACTTATACCAATGGTTTGCCAGGGGCTCTTGGGCCTTTGGCCACAGACTGAAGCCTGTACTGTGGGCCTCCCTACTTTTGAGGGTTTGGGACTTGGACTGATACACCACTGGCTTCATTGGTCCTCAACTGGCAGATGGCCTATCGTAGGACTTTACCTTGTGATCATGTGAATCAATTCTCCTTAATAAACTCCCTTTCATTAATGCAAAAATCCTCAATAAAATACTGGCAAACTGAATCCAGCAGCACATCAAAAAGCTTATCCACCACGATCCAGTTGGCTTCATCCCTGGGATGCAAGGCTGGTTCAACATACAAAAATCAATTAAACAGAACCAAAGGCAAAACCACATGATCATCTCAATAGATGCAGAAAAGGCCTTTGACAAAATTCAACAGCCCTTCATGCTAAAAACTCTCAATAAATTAGGTATTGATGGGACGTATCTCAAAATAATAAGAGCTATTTATGACAAACCCATAGCCAATATCATACTGAATGGGCAAAAACTGGAAGCATTCCCTTTGAAAACTGGCACAAGACACGGATGCCCTCTCTCACCACTCCTATTCAACATAGTGTTGGAAGTTCTGGCCAGGGCAATCAGGCAGGAGAAAGAAATAAAGGGTATTCAATTAGGAAAAGAGGAAGTCAAATTGTCCCTGTTTGCAGATGACATGATTGGATATTTAGAAAACCCCATTGTCTCAGCCCAAAATCTCCTTAAGCTGATAAGCAACGTCAGCAAAGTTTCAGGATACAAAACCAATGTGCAAAAATCACAAGCATTCTTATACAACAATAACAGACAAACAGAGAGCCAAATCATGAGTCAACTCCCATTCACAATTGCTTCAAAGAGAATAAAATACCTAGGAATCCAACTTACAAGGGATGTGAAGGACCTCTTCAAGGAGAACTACAAACCACTGCTCAACAAAATAAAAGAGGACACAAACAAATGGAAGAACATTCCAGGCTCATGGGTAGGAAGAATCAGTATCGTGAAAATGGCCATACTGCCCAAGGTAATTTATAGATTCAGTGCCATCCCCATCAAGTTATTTTCCCTTTTATTTTGAGAGAGAATATGTCTTTTATCTCCCCCTGGAAGCTTTTAACAGTTTCTTTTGTTTTTGGCTTTGTGTAGTCTTTTTATGATTTGTGTAAGTGTGGCTGTTTCTGCACTTATTATGTTTGGAATTTGCAGTTTCTTGAATTTGTAGCTCATGGTTTTTCATCGGTTGGGAGGTTTATCAGTGATTATTTTTTTCTACTCCATTGTCCTTATCCTGTTTTCTTGGACGTCAATTGCATATATGTTGGATATTTTCACAATTTCCTATATATCTCTTGCACTCTTTTAAACTGTTTTCTACTGACCTATCTTTCAGTTACCGATCTTCATTTCTGCTATGTCCAATCTATGATTAAGACTATCTACTGAATTCTTTATTTGTTTTTCATTTCTAATATTTCATCTTGGTTCTTTTGATATTCTTTCTCTCTCCCGTTCTTTCTTTGTTCTATATGTAGCTTTCTGTTGTGATTCTTCATAACATTCCTCTATTTTTCTTAAACATTTTTTGCAGTGTCTAAATTTTGTTTATTTGGCCCAATTTTTGGCATAGCTTTTCTAAATTGATGATGGGCAATGAAGATGAAAATTTTCGAAGCTCTAGTGAAAGTATCTTCTTCCAAAATGTATTTAATTTTCTTCCAGCAGGAAAAAACAGCATTGGATTGATCTCTTCGAGAAAATGGAAATGTCATGCCCACAGAGGTCATTCACATAGAGAAATAACTTATGTCACTGTATACATTATAACTCCTAAACTTGTATCCTAAGAGAATGGAGGTGGTGTTTCCAATGTGGGTCAGACATTGCACTTTCTTGGGGATGATATACTACTAGCTTGGTCTTATTTCCAGGTAAGGTGTAGCTCTTTAGGAGTCTCAAATAAAAGCTTGGAGTATTCTTAGTCCCCTCCATCTTAAATGGTATTTTTATCAAACTCTATCATATCAGCATTTCAAAAGGTTGAAATCTGCTCAGATCTTCAGCCTCCCACAGGCTACTTCCTGCTTAGTGTTTTGATATTCTGCCAGCCCATGTGCAGCTTAGGAGTAGTTAAACCTCTTAATGGGAAGTTACACATCACATTTCAGACTCACTTCTCTACAGTTTATTCCTCTGCAGGATCTTGGTCTGTCGAGTCTTAGCTGCCTTGACATCTTTGACCCCCAACCTCTGTGTGCCCATCCTGTCACACTGCCAAAAGCCCCAGCCTCTGGCTTTTTTCTCTGCCCTAATTCTTCATGATATCATTTGTGAGGATCAAGGAAAGTTTCACTTGCAAAATGACATTTAAGCTGAGACATGAAGAAGATAAGAGTTAACAGGCCTTTGGGAGTTGGAAGTACAGTTGTAGAAACTTTGGTGGGTGGGGAAAATAGTGATGTGGGAGGCTGACCTAATTATCCTCAGCTCAAAGCACAGTGTCTGGTACAGAGTGAGCACTCAACAAATATTTATTTGTTAAATATTAACTCTAATTCAATAAATATTTATGTAATATCTTTCATATTCCTAGCACTGGGGTATGAACTAAAGAAATGAAGTTGTATGTGTCACGTACTTTTCTTTTAAGAAGTTCACAGTAATAAAATACATGTTCCAACCAGAAATACCATTTGTCCCAGCAATCCCATTACTGGGTATATACCCAAAGGATTATAAATCAATGTACTATAAAGTCATATGCATGCGTATGTTTATTGCAGCACTATTTACAATAGTAAAGACTTGGAACCAACCCAAATGCCCATGAATGATAGATTGGATAAAGAAAATGTGGCACACATACCCTGTGGAATACTATGCAGCTGTAAAAAAAAGTATGAGTTCATGTCCTTCACAGGGATGTGGTTGAAGCTGGAAATCATCATTCTCAGCAAACTAACACAGGAAGAGGAAACCAAACACTGCACGTTCTCAATCATAAGTGGGAGTTGAACAATGAGAACATATGGACACAGGAAAGGGAACATCACACATCAGGGCCTGTCGGGGGATGGGGGGCAGGGGGGCAAGGGGAGGGAGAGCATTAGGACAAATACCTAATGCATGTGAGACTTAAAACCTAGATGATGGGTTGATAGGTGCAGCAAACCACCGTGGCACATGTATACCTATGTAACAAACCTGCATGTTCTGCACATGTATCCTAGAACTTAAAGTAAAATAAAAAAAAAATACAATGTTTTCTATTCAAATGGTGTGAACAAAGTGTTACATGTTATGTTTCTTAACAGTAGCTTCCTTGACATTTGGGCAAGAAAATGCTTTGTTGTGTGTGTGTATTGCAAATGTTTAGCATTCCTGGCTCCTGCCCATTCAAGGCTGATTGTCTTCTCCAGTCGTAGTGAAAAAAATTCTACCATTTCCAAACAAACCCCTAGGTGCGTTCAATCTCAAATTTGGAATGACTGTTAGGGGAATATACAGGAGAGGACAATATTCTACCTGATGAAATCTGGGGAAGTCTTACAGGCCTTTTGGATAATTAATATACATCTATTTGGATGTCTAATTGGTCAGATCTTTGATTACTCATAAGGTCAAAAATTATGTTCCTCTCAGGCCAGAGGATCAGGTAAATCAGCAGGTATAGGCAGTAAAGACCAGGCTTGGCAGACTGCATCATATGCAAGGTGCATGTCAGGAAAGATAACCAAGAGTTCTGTTGACCCTTTAAGCTCCAAATACCATCATCCACATAACTCTCAATAGCAAAGTTTTTTACTAAGATGTACTTCTTTGTCTAGAGAAAATGAAAATAGCAGGCTTATGACCCTCAATTGTATAGCGGATTCTCTGTTTTATGATTCTCCAGTGGGGCAGGCTTCTCCCTTACCAAGAGTCTGGAATTGTTTTTATATTCTGGGTTTAGTTTCTGGTTTTCTTTTGTATCAGCTTCCTCCATTATCTCTAAGAATGTCAACCTTTATGTTAAGCTGATGATAAAAGAAGTTTCATTCTTACCTTCTTCTAAAACCAGAAGACCATTGGCGAGGCGCGGTGGCTCACACCTGTAATCCCAGCACTTTGGGAGGCCAAGGCGGGTGGATCACGAGGTCAGGAGATCGAGACCATCCTGGCTAACATGGTGAAACCCCATCTCTACTAAAAATACAAAAAATTAGCGGGGTGTGGCGGCACACGCCTGTAGTCGGGAGGCTGAGGCAGGAGAATGGCGTGGACCCGGGAGGCGGAGGTTGCAGTGAGCTGAGATTCTGACACTGCACTCTAACTTGGGCGACAGAGCGAGACGCTGTCTCAAAAACAACAACAAAAACAAAACCAAAACAGGAAAATTATCATATGGGCTATGTACCCACAAGACGGTATGCTTCCCACATGGCCATGTCTTGGTGGCTACTAGCCTTGTCCCATTTCTGGTTTGCCGCAATCTCTAGACACTTGGGCCTTGTCTAGAGGCACACTCACTCGTCAGAAACCCCTAGATGTGTACCATTCAGGCCTAAAAGCAGCAGCCTTAATGGTCCTGACAAGAGTAGGACACAAAAGAATATCCATCTCAGCCCTGGCTTCTAGGTACAAAGAGTCTTTTACCACTTGCCTCATGTTCTTGGGTGCTACTATCATAATTTTTATGTTTGAAGTTTACATATTGAAGCTGAAATATTGAATTCACATATGACTTTATGTACAGTTATTCACCACATAACAGTGTTGTGGTCTACAATAGACCACGTATATAATGGTTTCATAAAATTATAATGGGACTAAAAAAATTCCTATCACCTAGTAATACCATAGCCATCATAATGTGGAACAGTGTGTTACCCACATGTTTGTAGTGATGCTGGTCTAAATAATATTGTGCTGCCAATCATATAAAAGTATAGCACATACAATTATGTACAATACATATACTTGATAATGATAATAAATGACTATATCACTGCTTTATATATCTACTCTACTTTACATATATATGAGAAAACTTAACTGTAAAACAGCCTTGGGCAGGTCCTTCATTGTATCATAGGAGTTGACAGCTCCATGCATGTTATTGCCCCTGAACACCTTCCAGTGGGACAAGATGTGGAGGTGGAAGACAGTGACATTGATGATCATAACTGTGTAGGTCTAGGCTAGTGTGTGTTTAGGTCTTGTTTCTAACAAAATAGTTTAAAATTAAAAAAATTAAAAATAGAAAAAAGTTTATAGAATAAGGATACAAAGAAAGAAAATATTTTTTTAAACCACTGTATGATGTATTTGTGTTTTAAGCTAAGTGTTATTACAAAAGATTCAAAAAGGCCAGGCACAGTGGCTCACACTTATAATCCTAGCACTTTGGGAGGCCAAGATGGAAGGATTACTTGAGCCCAGGAGTTTGAGACGAGCCTCAGAAACATGGTGAAACTGTCTCTACAAAAACTACAACAAAAATTAGCCAGGCATGGTGACATATGCCTGTAGACCTAGCTTCTCCGGAGGCTGAGGTAGGAGGATCACCTGAGACTGGGAAGTCAAGGCTGCAGTGAGTCATGATCGCGCCCCTGCACTGTGGCCTGGGTGACAGACCGAAAAATAAAAATAAAAATTAAGAGTCAGAAAGGTTTTAAAAATTTGGTTTATAAAGTAAAAAACTACAGTAAGCTAAGGTGTATTAGTGTAGCCTGTTATACAGGAATGTCCTAGGCCTCCATATTCACTTACCACTCACTTACTGATTCACACAGAGCAACCTCCATTCCTGCAAGCTCCATTCATAAGTGCCCTATACAAGTGTACCATTTTAAATTTTCTATACCATATTTTTACTTGACCTTTTGTATGTTGAGATATGTTTAGATACACAAATACTTACCATTTTGTTGCAATTGCCTACAGTTTTCAGTATACCAACATGCAGTACAGGTTTGGAGCCTAGGAGTAATAAGCTATACTATATAGCCTGTATGTGTAGTAGGCTATACCATCTAGGTTTGGGTAAGTACACCCTATGATGTTAGCACAATGATGAAATTGCCTAACAACTCATTTCTCAGAACATATCCCCATTGTTAAGCTATGCATGACTGTATTACAAAGTTTTATGTATCATATGTATTAAAATATGTACTTATAGATTGTAAAAGCAATTTATATATTCACACAAATGTTTAGATTTCTTTACTAACATACTTTAAGACAGAAGTTCTTCAGCAATTATTCTTTAGACTCAGCATAAAAATAATATGCTGAAGACATGGATGTATGTGTATAGATAAGCTTTCATTTTGACCTATTCATTTTTATCTATATACTTTATCACAAAAATTTTGAATGTGCAGACATTTCTAGGGCCTTTTAGTTTCACCCACTTTCTTCATAGACGTTTCCACTTTATTAGAACAAATTTCCTCTTAAAATATGCAGAGATGATAGTAACGATGGACGTTTTTAAAGAACTCAAGTATGAAATGGAGTCCCCTTAGAAGAACAGCTGAGATGTAGCTGCAGCACATTCTATATTCTTTCATAGTCTCACAAACAACTTACACATTGTTTTATGGATTTACACAGATGGATTTTTAATTACAGCTGTTTTCTCTTCTGATAGTTAATTTTGAGTTACCATTTTGCAATGCGAGGTAAGGAATATTGGGATAGTAAATATTCAGGTAGAAAGGGATATCTGTGTAGGACACGGAGTGGGAGCACTTCTTCCAGTGACCTAATGAATCATATTATGGTTGGACATTTCTACCCCTAGGTTATTTTATCCCAAGGGAATGCCTGCAACACACTTCTATAATGACTTTCCAGTACTATACCTCCTTTCCATTTGCACTTCCAATTCTGACACTACTTATTTTTTGGTGTATATAATCTTGTTGGAACTCCTATGACAGGTGCAGAAATGTTCTTCCTGCTTTTAGTCTAATATTTAGCTTTAGGACTTGAAAATATTTTAGTACTACAAAAGTAGCTCATGTTTTTATACATTTAAAAATTCATAAATACATCAGAAAATAAAGGATAGAAAAAATGTTAAATCTCAAATGTGGTGAATTTCTCTTGTTTGTCTTTCCAGGTCTATTCCTACCCATTTGCACCTTGACATAATCCAAAGAGGCTGATCCCCATGGTCTGTATCAACAGACTCCCTCTCCTGTAGCTTCTGGTTTGGCTAATCAGTGGGAGACACTGGCAGAGGAGTCTGAGGCTTGGGTACTTCCCTGGCTGTTCTTCCTCTACGTCACCTGGATTGGCTGTGACCCTCCACCAAATGCCACAGCTCCTGGCAGGTGGTCCTCTCATCACATCGCTCTAGGTTCCTGTTAATTGCCCACTCTTCTTGTTCCTTCAGATCTTGAGCTGATCACTACCCCTAGGATACAACATTACCCTCGAAGCTTTTCCTAAGCTCTGCCCACAACTTTGTAAATTGCCCTTTACTCAGTTCCTCTCAATTATCCAGTCATGTGTTTCCTTCAGATAACCAGGAAATATTCTATCTTCCACAATTTATTGCTTGCTCACACCTGTGTTAATTCTTCCTAATTTTTATTTTGTAAAATTATGTTTTGTAATTTTACAATTTTATGTAAATTTACATAATTATGTAAATTTACAAAATTGTTTTTAATTTTACAATTTTATGTAAATTTACATAATTATGTAAATTTACAAAATTATGTTTTGTAACTTTGTAAAAGTAAGTTTTGTAAAAACATACTTTTCTTTTTACAAAAGTAAAATTATACTGTAAATATATATATTTATATATAGGTATATATATTTATAAATAGGTATATATATATAAAAAAATTTTTTTACCACTGTATGATGTATTTGTGTTTTAAGCTAAGTGTTATTGCAAAAGAGTCAAAAAGACCAGGCACAGTGGCTCACACTTGTAATCCTAGCACTTTGGGAGGCCAAGGTGGAAGGATCACTTGAGCCCAGGATTTTGAGACGAGCCGCAGCAACACGGTGAAACTCTGTCTCTACAAAAACTACAACAAAAATTAGCCAGGCATGGTGACATATGCCTGTAGTCCTAGCTACTCAGGAGGCTGAGGTAGGAGGATCACCTGAGACCGGGAAGTCAAGGCTGCAGTGAGTCATGATCATGCCCCTGCACTCTGGCCTGAGTGACAGACCGAAAAATAAAAATAAAAATTAAGAGTCAGAAAGGTTTTAAAAATTTAGTTTATAAAGTAAAAAAGTTACAATAAGGTAAGGTATATTAGTGTAGCCTATGTATACTGTGTTTATAAAGTCTACAGTATTATACAGTAATATCCTAGGTCTCCATATATATATATATATATATATATATATATATATATATATACACCTATATATATAAATACATATACATATATATACCTATATATAAATATATATACCTATATATAAAAATATATATACATATATAAATATATATACACACACATATATACACCTATATATACATTTATACCTATATATACATATATATATCCACACACACACACACATATACCTGATTTTATCATCAATAAATTATCCACACCAGATGGGACTTAATGTATTCAAGTTCAAATTTTTAGTCAGACTTTTATTTATTTACTTTTAGCCATCCTGCTCACATTCATAAATGTTTAGTTAGATTTTAAAGAATTCCTTAGTATAACCATATTAGTTTTTCAGCATTATAACTCTCTATTCTCCTCCACTTACTCAATGACCCTGCAAAAGTGAGTTACTCACTGTTCCTGAAATATCCTCCCCACTTCCGGCCTCACGGCCTACCCTTTTGCTGAAATTATTTTCACCTATCAGTTCCATCTCAAGTACCTTCCCACATGGCTTCAACCCACTCTGAAACTGCTCTTGCTAAATTACCTACACCCACCCCTCTGCCAAACCTCAGAAGCATTAAACAAGTAACCACCTTCTCCTATTTTGAATCACTTTCTTTTTTTGTATTCTGCAATCTCACTTTCCCAATTTGGGTTTTTCCTTACCTCTCTTGTCCATTTGTCTTCATCTTTCCTGAAGATTGCAACTGTACCAGACCTTTAAATGTTAGACTGTCTTATAACTTATCCTATATATTCTTACATTTATAGCCACTTATTGACCTCATGCAATTTTATGATTTTTAAGACAATACCACTTGTCTTAGTCCATTTTGTGCTGCTATAACAGCATACCACAGACTGGGTAATTTATTAAAAATATGAATTTTTTGTCACAATTCTGGAGGTTGGAAGTCCAACATCAAGGCACTGGCATTTGGTGTCTAGTGAGGGCTGCATCCTCTGGAAGGAAAGAATACTGTGGTGATACATGGGGGAAGTGAGAAGGGCAAGAGGAGGTGACCTCCTTCCGTCAAGCCTTTTAAAAGGGATACTTAATTCCATTTATGAGAGATGAACCTTCGTGGCCCAATCACCTCTTAAAGGCCCCACCTTTCAATATTATCACATTGGCAGACTTGAATTTTGAAGGACATACATTCAAACCATAGCACCACTTAAATATTGTTTACTCCAAAATTTATGTATGCAACCTCAATTTCTCTATGACCTAACATGTTTCTACATTCAACAGTAATAGATGGTAAGGGTTTGAAAAATAGTAAGGAAAATATTTTTAAGAGCTTAATAAAAGAACACATTTGCTGAGTAGTGATGAAGTTTGATAATATTGCCACCTGTGACAAAGTGGAAAAGAGAAAGGGTATCTTATATACTCTTAGATTTGCCTGGGAAGGTTTCCAGGAAGAGTGCAGAAAGTGCTACCTGGCTTCTTATAGTTGCCTATGATAAACTATAACCAGAGATCTGTGAACTAAAGGAAAATTTTTTTCAAAGAAAAATTTAGAAAAAATGTAAGAAAGCTAGATCTTGCTGGCTTTGAAAATAAGGCTATTTCTCATCCCTGATATCTTCCAGAAAGATTTTCATGGTACGAAGTGACTTCAGGTCAAAGATCATATTCAGGTTGGGGCTGTAAGATCCTCTGCTGAGACCTCAGAAAGATCTAAGGCCTCACTGACCCTTAAAGCTAATCTATGTCCTTCTAAGAATCTTAATGGCATGTTTTAGAGACCCTCTTTTTTCTAAAAAACAAAGATTTTTTTTTTTTTCTTTTGAGATGGAGTCTCACTCTGTGGCCCAGACTGGAGTGTAGTGGCGCTATCTCGGCTCACTGCAAGCTTCTCCTCCTGGGTTCACGCCATTCTCTTGCCTCAGCCTCCCAAGTAGCTGGGACTACAGGCACCTGCCACCACGCCCGGCTAATTTTGTGTGTGTGTGTGTGTGTGTGTGTGTGTGTGTGTGTATTTTTAGTAGAGATGGGGTTTCACTGTGTTAGCCAGGATGGTCTCAATCTCCTGACCTCGTGGTCCACCCGCCTTGGCCTCCCAAAGTGCTGGGATTACAGGCGTGAGCCACTGTGCCCGGCCAAAAACAAAGCTTTTGAAATCATAAGGCTTCTGGCAGAAACCTCATAAACCTCCAGAGGAAGAATTAACTGGAAGAGATTTATGAGTGTGAGTTTTGTCCAATTCAGTAGTTTATAATTTGATACAAAGAAAGCCCATGTTGTTTTTAACAACCTCCATGAGATATAGTTCACATACCATACAAACTACAGATTTAAAGTGTATGATTTAATGTTCGTAGCATATGCACACATGTTTTCAAGCCTCACCATAGTCAATTTTAGAAAGTTTTAATCATCTCAAAAAGAAATCCTGTATCCTTTAGTATCACCTTACATATTCCTATCCCCCCAGCCATAAGCAACCACCAGTCTACCTTCTGTCTCTATATGGACATTTCATATGTATGGCCTTAGATAATACGTGGTCTCTTGTGACTAGTCTCTTTTACTTAGTGTAATGTTGTCCAGGTTCATTCATGTTGAGACATATATCAGTTCTCCATTCTTTTCAATGGCTAAATAATATTCCATTATATGGATATACTACATTTTCTTCCTTCACTTGTAAGTTAATGGATCCATGCATTGCTTCTACCTTTTGGTTATTGTAAATAATGCTACTATAAACATTCACGCATGAGTTTTTTTGTGGACATATGCTTTTATTTCTCTTGGGCATATATCTAGGAGAATTTCTGGATCATAGGGTATTTCTATGTTTAATAGTTTGAGTAACTGGAAGATTATTTTCCAAAATGATCCCACCATTTTACATACCTACCAGTATATGTGGGTTTCAATTTTTCCACATCCTCACCAACACTTTTTATTATCATACTTTTAAATTCTAGCCATCCTAGTGGGGTGAAGAGTAGTATCTCATTAATATTTCATTTGTATTTTCATGATGACTCCCACAGTGTGTTTGAAGAAATGATAACAGCTTAGACTGAAAGGGACAGGGATAGTGCAAAGTGAAAAGAGGTTTTGTGCGAAGTGAAAAGAGGTTTTGGACCCTTGACCTACAATAATTAGGAAATAGGCCAGGAAAACTACTCAGCTATAACATAGGCTATTTTTTTCCTGGAAAAGGAAGGATAACTCAGAGGATGGAACCAAAAAGTCAGAAGGCAGAGCCAAGAGACATAGAGATTTATTAACAAGGAGCAGGATTGGGCCCTGATCAAGAAAATGGCAACATCTGTCTAGTTGGATTTGGGAATTGCAATTGGCCAGTGATTGCTACATGACTCCTATATTCCACCCTTATGAATGGGAGTGTTCACTGCAGTTTTTCTACACCAGCATCAACAGTGTCTGTTGGGTAATATATAGGGCAGATGACTTGTCTCTTTAGTTCGCATGTCTTTCAATCAAGAGGGACTGTATTTGAGAAGCTGTGCCCAAGGAACCTCACTCATGCCTAAACTTGGTTTAAATCCCACGATGATGGACTTAATTGTGATGCTGTAATGGTATGATATTTTAGAGGACTGTAGGACGTATAAAAGTAATTTGACATGTAGGAAATATACAAATAACTGTGGCCAGAGGGATTGTGGTAGGCTGGAGATGGCTGTGACATCATTGCTACTTCTCTTATTGACAGGTGGAATCTAATTTCCCTTCCCTTGAATCTGGACTGAAATTACTAATTTGCTTTGCCAGTAGACAAAGGTGGACAAGATGTCTACGTCTCCTGAGGCTAGGTGATAGGAAATACTGCAGATTTCTTTTAATCTCTTGGAACACTTGCTATTAAAGTCTTGAGCCACTATGTGAGAAATCCAACTAAACTGCTAGTGAGACCATATAGAATGATCCTATGACTACCTGGAGAGGGAGAGGCTTTCAAACCATTCCTGTGAAGGTGCTGGGCATTTGAATGATGCCATTTTTGACTCTGTAGACATGCAAAGATGCCATCTGAATATGACTAAGTGATCCTCATTCATGCTATTAGAGTAAAATTGCCAAGCCAAACCCAATCTTAATTTCTGACTCATGAAATAATGTAATATAATAAAATGTGTTTTTATAGTCAATTTTTACATACAACAATAGAGGTATTCTTTAAAAGTGTGAATTGTAATTAGGCTACGCCCATTTAGAAAACATTTAGAGGCTTCCCATTCCTTTCAGCATAAAATCCAAACACTTTTCCATGGCATATGATGTCCCCCAAACATGATCTAACCCTTTTGGTATACCTCTCTCCATCTGGTTTATCATTGCCTTCTTTTTATTTTTTGAGATTATCAGGATCTTTGCATTTCCTGTTTCCTGTCTGGCAGCTTCCCTGACTCCACTCTTCACATCTATGGGTCCTTCTGATCATTCCATTTTCTACTCAAATATCACCTGCTCCACATGGCCTTCCTTTTCACTTTACCTACAGTAATACCACCTATATCACATTTACTCTTAACAGTCATATTAACCTTATTGATTTATTTCTTCCACATCACTTACCATATTCTGTATTTATAATGTTGATTCATTTTCTAGTGTTTTTGCTGAGATCTAAATTTCATGCAAAGTCTGTTCTATTCATCAATATACCTTCAGTGCTTACTCAGTTCTCGACTATGATAAATGCTGAACAAATATTTTTGAAATAAATGGATAAATGATTATCTTATATCTACATGTCAAACAATTTTCAGGCATTGAGCAAATATCCCTCATTGGCTTTGAGATCACAATGGCAGGAAATTATCAATGTTTGTGGTCAGTCCTCTACTTTCTCCCTGAATTATTCATAAACATACCAACAAGGATATATAAATCTTAACAGATCAGAAAGTTCATGTTTATCACTAGCCTTTGACTTGAATTAACTGACAATTATGAAGGCTTAGATGATACATGGCATAAAATATAGGAGACCTGTGAACACTTTAACCTTTGAGACATGAAGCCAAAGTATCCAAAGGAAGCTAATCTTTATATTCAGGACCATAGAGTTTGCATAACTAATGCTCCAAGATGTCGTGGGAATCAGGATGCACCTGAAATTTTTACAGGACAACTGGAGATGTTGTTTATCAAAAGATAAGGACCAGGGTTAGGACCTCAGGAAAAAAACAAAAAGCTGCCCACTTACGAATGTTCATTATTATGGTGAAAAAGCAGGGCAGAAGGGGGAAGGAGTCAGGGCATTTAGAGTTGAATTCAGAAATTGGAGAAGACTGGTCTCTGTGAAATTAAGAAACTTTTATCCTTAAAGCTGGCCTTTAAATCTCACAATAACTGTTCCTCTGATGGCAGTGGGTATACTGAGAGAATTTACAGATTTTATAGACACTACTCTCCTAATCTACCCTGGGACCTTAAATGGGAGACTGGTGTCAGTAAAAGCACTTCCTCACCTAAGTTGGAACCATAGGAGTTATCCAAATTATTCCTTCTATCTAATCCCCCATCCAACAATCAACAGTTTCTACCAGTTATCTCCCCTAAATCTTTCTCAAGGTTGTTCTCTGTATTTTGTATTTTTCTATCACTAATATTCAAATCTTTATCCTTTGTCTACTGGAGTATTGTAGATTGTTTCCTAATCAGGCACCTGGAAAATCGGGTCACTCCCACCCTAATAATGTGCTTTTCCAATGGTCTTAGCAAAGGGCACAACAGGAGATTGTATCCCGTGCCTGCCTCGGAGGGTCCCATGCCCACGGAGCCTCGCTCATTGCTAGCACAGCAGTCTGAGACCGAATTGCAAGGTGACAGTGAGGCTAGGGGAGGGGCGCCCGCAATTGCTGAGGCTTGAGTAGGTAAACAAAGCAGCTGGGAAGTTCGAACTGGGTGGAGCCCACCGTAGCTCAAGGAGGCCTGCCTGCCTCTGTAGACTCCACCTCTAGGGGCAGGGCATAGCTGAACAAAAGGCAGCAGAAACCTCTGCAGACTTAAATGTCCCTGTCTGACAGCTTTGAAGAGAGTAGTGGTTCTCCCAGCACAGAGTTTGAGATCTGAGAACAGACAGACTGCCTCCTCAAGTGAGTCCCTGACCCCCAAGTAGCCTAACTGGGAGGCACCCCCCAGTAGGGGCAGAATGACACCTCACACGGCCAGGTACTCCTCTGAGACGAAGCTTCCAGAGGAATGATCAGGCAGCAACATTTGCTGTTCAGGAATATAGCTTCCAGAGGAATGATCAGGCAGCAACATTTGCTGTTCAGGAATATTCGCTGTTCTGCAGCCTCCACTGCTGATACCCAGGCAAACAGGGTCTTGAGTGGACCTCCAGCAAACTCCAACAGAACTGCAGCTGAGGGTCCTGACCGATAGAAGGAAAACTAACAAGCAGAAAGGACATCCACACCAAAACCCCATCTGTACGTCACCATCATCAAAGACCAAAGGTAGATAAAACCACAAAGATGGGGAAAAAACAGAGCAGAAAAGCTGAAAATCCTAAAAATCAGAGTGCCTCTCCCCTTCAAAGGAATGCAGCTCCTCGCCAGCAATGGAACAAAGCTGGACGGAGAGTGACACTGACGAGTTGAGAGAAAAAGGCTACAGATGATCAAACTTCTCTGAGCTAAAGGAGGAAGTTCAAACCCATCACAAAGAAGCTAAAAACCTTGAAAAAAGATTAACGAATGGCTAACTAGAATAACCAGTGTAGAGAAGTCCTTAAATGACCTGATGGAGCTGAAAACCATGGCATGAGAACTACGTGACGAATGCACAAGCTTCAGTAGTGGATTTGATCAACTGGAAGAAAGGGTATCAGTGATTGAAGATCAAATGAATGAAATGAAGTGAGAAGAGAAGTTTAGAGAAAAAAAGAGTAAAAAAGAAACGAATAAAGCCTCCAAGAAATATGGGACTATGTGAAAAGACCAAATCTACGTCTGATTGATGTACCGGAAAGTCATGGGGAGAATGGAACCAAGTTGGAAAACACTCTTCAGGATATTATCCAGGAGAACTTCCCCAATCTAGCAAGGCAGGCCAACATTCAAATTCAGGAAATACAGAGAACGCTGCAAAGATACTCCTCGAGAAGAGCAACTCCAAGACACATAATTGTCAGATTCACCAAAGTTGAAATGAAGGAAAAAATGTTAAGGGCAGCCAGAGAGAAAGGTCAGGTTACCCACAAAGGAAAGCCCATCAGACTAACAGCTGATCTCTTGGCAGGAACACTACAAGCCAGCAGAGAGTGGGGGCCAATATTCAACATTCTTAAAGAAAAGAATTTTCAACCCAGAATTTCATATCCAGCCAAACTAAGCTTCATAAGTGAAGGAGAAATAAAATCCTATACAGACAAGCAAATGCTGAGAGATTTTGTCACCACCAGGCCTGCCCTACAAGAGCTCCTGAAGGAAGCACTAAACATGGAAAGGAACAACCGGTACCAACAACTGCAAAAACATGCCAAATTGTAAAGACCATCAATGCTAGGAAGAAACTGCATCAACTAACAGGCAAAATAACCAGCTAACATCATAATGACAGGATCTAATTCACACATAACAATATTAACCTTAAATGTAAATGGGCTAAATGCCCTAATAAAAAGACACAGACTGGCAAATTGGATAAAGAGTCAAGACCCATCAGTGTGCTGTATTCAGGAGATTCATCTTATGTGCAAAGACACACATAGGCTCAAAATAAAGGGACGGAGAAAGATCTACCAAGCAAATGGAAAACAAAAAAAGGCAGGGGTTGCAATTCTAGTCTCTGATAAAACAGACTTTAAACCAACAAAGATCAAAAGAGACAAAGAAGGCCATTACATAATGGTAAAGGGATCAATTCAACAAGAAGAGCTCACTATCCTAAATATATATGCACCCAATACAGGAGCACCCAGATTCATAAAGCAAGTCCTTAGAGACCTACAAAGAGACTTAGACTCCCACACAATAATAATGGGAGACTTTAACACCCCATTGTCAACATTAGACAGATCCACGAGACAGAAAGTTAACAAGGATATCCAGGAATTGAACTCAGCTCTGCACCAAGCAGACCTAATAGACATCTACAGAACTCTCCACCCCAAATCAACAGAATATACATTCTTCTCAGCACCACATCACACTTCTTCCAAAATTGACCACATAGTTGGAAGTAAAGCACTCCTCAGCAAATGTAAAATAACAGAAATTATAACAAACTGTCTCTCAGACCACAGTGCAATCAAATTAGAACTCAGGATTAAGAAACTCACTCAAAACCGCTCAACTACATGGAAACTGAACAACCTGCTCCTGAGTGACTACTGGGTACATAACGAAATGAAGGCAGAAATAAAGATGTTCTTGGAAACCAATGAGAACAAAGACACTACATAGCAGAATCTCTGGGACACATTTAAAGCAGTGTGTAGAGGGAAATTTATAGCACTAAATGCCATCAAGAGAAAGCAGGAAAGATCTAAAATTGACACCCTAACATCACAATTAAAAGAACTAGAGAAGCAAGAGCAAACACATTCAAAAGCTGGAAGAAGGCAAGAAATAACTAAGATTAGAGCAGAACTGAAGGAAATAGAGACACAAAAAACCCCTCAAAAAATCAATGAATCCAGGAGCTGCTTTTTTGAAAACATGAACAAAATTGTTAGACCGCTAGCAAGACTAATAAAGAAGAAAAGAGAGAAGAATCAAATAGATGCAATAAAAAATGATAAAGGGGGTATCACCACCGATCCCACAGAAATACGAACTACCATCAGAGAATACTATAAACACCTCTATGCAAATAAACTAGAAAGTCTAGAAAAAATGGATAAATTCCTCGACACATACACCCCCCCAAGACTAAACCAGGAAGAAGTTGAATCCCTGAATAGACCAATAACAGTCTCTGAAATTGAGGCAATAATTAATAGCCTACCAACCAAAAAAAGTCCAGGACCAGACCAATTCAGAGCCAAGTTCTACCAGAGGTACAAGGAGGAGCTGGTACCATTCCTTCTGAAACAATTCCAATCAATAGAAAAAGAGGGAATCCTCCCTAACTCATTTTATGAGGCCAGCATCATCTTGATACCAAAGCCTGGCAGAGACACAACAAAAAAAGATAATTTTAGACCAATATCCCTGATGAACATCAATGCTAAAATCCTCAATAAAATACTGGCAAACCGAATCCAGCAGCATATCAAAAAGCTTATCCACCATGATCAACTGGGCTTCATCCCTAGGATGCAAGGCTGATTCAACATACACAAATCAATAAACATAATTCATCATATAAACAGAACCAAAGACAGAAACCACATGATTATCTCAATAGATGCAGAAAAGTCCTTTGACAAAATTCAACAGCCCTTCATGCTAAAAACTCTCAATAAATTAGGTATTGATGGGACGTATCTCAAAATAATAAGAGCTATCTATGACAAACCCACAGCCAATATCATACTGAATGGGCAAAAACTGGAAGCATTCCCTTTGAAAACTGGCACAAGACAGGGATGCCCTCTCTCACCACTCCTATTCAACATACTGTTGGAAGTTCTGGCCAGGGCAATCAGGCAGGAGAAAGAAATGAAAGGTATTCAATTATGAAAAGAGGAAGTCAAATTGTCCCTGTTTGCAGATGACATGATTCTATATTTAGAAAACCCCATTGTCTCAGCCCAAAATCTCCTTAAGCTAATAAGCAACTTCAGCAAAGTCTCAGGATATAAAATCAATGTGCAAAAATCACAAGCATTCTTATATACCAATAACAGACAGAGAGCCAAATCATGAGTCAACTCCCATTCACAATTGCTTCAAAGAGAATAAAATACCTAGGAATCCAACATACAAGGGATGTGAAGGATCTCTTCAAGGAGAACTACAAACCACTGCTCAACGAAATAAAAGTGGACACAAACAAATGGAAGAACATTCCAAATTGACAAATGGGATCTAATTAAACTAAAGAGCTTCTGCACAGCAAAAGGAAACTACCATCAGAGTGAACAGGCAACCTACAAAATGGGAGAAAATTTTCACAACCTACTCATCTGACAAAGGGCTAATATCCAGAATCTACAATGAACTCCAACAAATTTACAAGAAAAAAACAAACAACCCCATCAAAAAGTGGGCGAAGGACATGAACAGACACTTCTCAAAAGAAGACATTTATGCAGCCAAAAAACACATGAAAAAATGCTCACCATCACTGGCCATCAGAGAAATGCAAATCAAAACCACAATGAGATACCATCTCACACCAGTTAGAATGGCGATCATTAAAAAGTCAGGAAACAACAGGTGCTGGAGAGGATGTGGAGAAATAGGAACACTTTTACACTGTTGGTGGGACTGTAAACTAGTTCAACCATTGTGGAAGTCAGTGTGGCGATTCCTCAGGGATCAAGAACTAGAAATACCATTTGACCCAGCCATCCCATTACTGGGTATATACCCAAAGGACTATAAATCATGCTGTTATAAAGACACATGCACACGTATGTTTATTGCGGCATTATTCACAATAGCAAAGACTTGGAACCAACCCAAATGTCCAACAATGATAGACTGGATTAAGAAAATGTGGCACATATACACCATGGAATACTATGCAGCCATAAAAAAGGATGAGTTCATGTCCTTTGTAGGGACATGGATGAAGCTGGAAACCATCATTCTCAGCAAACTATCTCAAGAACAAAAAACCAAACACCGCATATTCTCACTCATAGGTGGGAATTGAACAATGAGAACACATGGACACAGGAAGAGGAAAATCACACTCTGGGGACTGTGGTGGGGTGGGGGGAGGGGGGAGGGATAGCATTGGGAGATATACCTAATGCTAGATGACGAGTTAGTGGGTGCAGCATACCAGCATGGCACATGTATACGTATGTAACTAACCTGCACAATGTGCACATGTACCCTAAAACTTAAAGTATAATAATAAATAAATAAATAAATAAATAAATAAATAAATAATTAAAAAACATTCCATGCTCACGGATAGGAAGAATCAATATCGTGAAAATGGCCATACTGCCCAAGGTAATTTACAGATTCAATGCCATCCCCATCAAGCTACCAATGACTTTCTTCACAGAATTGGAAAAAAACTACTTTAAACTTCATATGGAATCAAAAAAGAGCCCACATTGCCAAGACAATCCTAAGCCAAAAGAACAAAGCTGGAGGCATCACGCTACCTGACTTCAAACTATACTACAAGGCTACAGTAACCAAAACACACAGTACAGTTACCAAAACAGAGATATAGACGAATGGAACAGAACAGAGGCCTCAGAAATAATACCACACACCTACAACCATCTGATCTTTGACAAACCTGATAAAAACAAGAAATGGGGAAAGGATTCCCTATTTAATAAATGGTGCTGGGAAAACTGGCTAGCCTTATTAGAAAGCTGAAACTGGATCCCTTCCTTACACCTTATACAAAAATTAATTCAAGATGGATTAAAGACTCATATGTTAGACCTAAAACCATAAAAAGTCTAGAAAAGAACCTAGGCAATACCATTCAGGACATAGGCATGGGCAAGGACTTCATGTCTAAAATACCAAAAGCAATGGCAACAAAAGCCAAAATTGACAAATGGGATCTAATTAAACTAAAGAGCTTCTGCACAGCAAAAGAAACTACCATCAGAGTAAACAGGCAATCTACAGAATGGGAGAAAATTTTTGCAATCTACTCATCTGACAAACGGCTAATATCCAGAATCTACAAAGAACTCAAACAAACTTACAAAAAACAAACAAACAAACAACCCCATCACAAAGTGGGTGAAGGTTATGAACAGACACTTCTCAATAAAAGACATTTATGCAGACAACAGACACATGAAAAAATGCTCATCATCACTGGCCATCAGAGAAATGCAAATCAAAACCACAGTGAGATACCATCTCACACCAGTTAGAATGGCGATCATTAAAAAGTCAGGAAACAACAGGTGCTGGAGAGGATGTGGAGAAATAGGAACACTTTTACACTGTTGGTGGGACTGTAAACTACTTCAACCATTGTGGAAGACAGTGTGGTGATTCCTCAAGGATCTAGAACTGGAAATACCATTTGACCCAGCCATTCCATTACTGGGTATATACCCAAAGGATTATAAATCATGCTGCTATAAAGACACACGCACACGTATGTTTACTGCGGCATTATTCACAATAGCAAAGACTTGGAACCAACCCAAATGTCCACCAATGATAGACTGGATTAAGAAAATGTGGCACATATACACCATGGAATACTATGCAGCCATAAAAAAGTATGAGTTCATGTCCTTTGTAGGGACATGGATGAAGCTGGAAACCATCATTCTCAGCAAACTATCACAAGGACAAAAAACCAAACACCACATGTTCTCACTCATAGGTGGGAACTGAACAATGAGAACACTAGGACACAGGAAGGGGATCATCACACACCGGGGCCTGTCATAGGGTGGGGGGCTGGGGGAGGGATAGCATTAGGAGAAATACCTAATGTAAATGACAAGTTAATGGGTACAGCACACCAATATGGCACATGTATACATATGTAACAAACCTGCACGTTGTGCACATGTACCCTAGAACTTAAAGTATAATAAAAAAAATTTCTTTTCTATATTTCCCAACCCTCACTTCTCTCTCTCCATTACACTGAGGTAAAAAGGACAACTGGATTCTAAGTCTTCTTCCCAGATGCCAGAAACAGTTTTCTCGATATTTGCTTTGAATTGGTAGTTTCTGTATTCCAGCAGACTTCTCCTCATCCTTTCTAGTCTTATGGTGATAACGTAAATGAAAATAAATCATTCTCCAAGAAAAAGATTTAGTTAATGTGATATGCAACAACATTTCTGGTTTTTTGTTTGTTTTTTTAACAGGTTCTAATTTCTCTATCAATTCAGACCTATAGAACTACAATTATTGTTAACACATTAATTGCAATCCTTAGAATTAAAGGACACTGTTTTTAATTCTCCGTCTCTACTAAAAAAATACAAAAAAATTAGCCGAGCATGGTAGCAGGCGCCTGTAGTCCCAGCTACTCTGGAGGCTGAGGCAGGAGAATGGCGTGAACCCGGGAGGCGGAGCTTGCAGTGAGCCCATCGTGCCATTGCACTCCAGCCTGGGCGGCAGAGTGAGACTCCGTCTCAAAAAAAAAAAAAAAAAAGAAAGAAAGAAAATTAAAGGACACTGTTTTTAATTGCTGCAAATAAATATTACATTATGCCAAAGGAGACTATTTGTTTTTAATGTGCTTAAAAATATGGATAAAGTACCAGCTAAATCATGTGTTCGTGGTGTTAAGATCTGATCTCCTAAAAGATGGCAACCAATCCATTTCTCAAATTTTCACCCTCATTCAGAGTCTACACAACCTAGACCATCTAGTGGTAGGGTTTGTTCAAAATATTGATACAAAGTTCCAGCTTAAGCTTGATTGTCCTGTCCAAATCCTCTAGCTCAGTAGCAATGCTGATGTCATTAGGCTGATGGTCATAGTTTGATATAGGTTAAGTGCATGGATCCTGGAAAGGGAGGACTTGAGTTTACATCTATTTGGAAAAACTATTGTATCTTTCAATACAGTTTTCTCAACAGTAAATTGTGGGAAATTTATTCCTGCATCATAGGATTGCTGAGAAAATTAAATGAAAAAAAAATAATGGTTTTGGAATCAGACTTTCTGGATTCAAATACTTACTGGTCCCACATTTAACTTCATGACTTTGGACATTCCACTTAATGTCTCTATGCCCAGATGATTTATTTGTGAAATACAAATAGTGGAATCACTTCATAGGGTTGTTGTGAGGAATAAATGAGTTAACATATGTAACATGCTTAGCATAGGGCCTGGCACAGAGTAAGTAAAAGCTATTGTTTGTGAAATAAATTAAATAAAGGAAAAATGCTTGGCATCTACAAGAGTTTAATAATAGTAATAATTATTACTATCATTATTACTGACATCTAGGTCTCCCAATTGGTCTACAAGTATTTAAAAATGAAAGTTAGAACAAATAAATATAATTTTATTTTAAGCAATCAGTTAAGTAGTATTTGGTAGGTCCTAAACGTGATACCGATAATGAAAACTTTATAGGTCGTCTGAAATGCTACAAATTGATCCTAAGAATATATTCTGACAGTTGCCTTTCTTAGTGCCTCCTTTACATCTCTGTTCCTCAGACTATAGATAAAGGGGTTCAGTATGGGGATTACCACTGTGTAGGACAGCGATATCAATCTGTTCTGGCTAGTTGAGTAACTGGATTTGGGCATCACATAAATGAAGGTAATCGTTCCATAGTAGAGAGTAACCGCAGCGAGGTGGGAGGTACAGGTGGAGAAGGCCTTGTGGCGCCCCTCGGCGGAGCGCATCTTCAGGATGGTGATGAGGATGTAGATGTAGGAGATGGCTATGGCAAATACTGTGACCACAATGATAGATCCAGAAGAGATGGAAGGGATAATTTCAGGAATGGAGATATTTGAGCAGGAAAGTTTCAACAAAGGAGAGAAATCACAGAAAAAATGATCTATCTGATTTGGTCCACAGAAAGACAGACTCAATAAACAACTAGTAAATGTTGAGGCATTCACACATCCACCCAGGTAGCAAACCCCCACTAAGAGTATGCAGATTATGGGGGACAAGTGGGTGGAGTTCACCAGGGGTGAGCAGATGGCCACATAGCGATCATAGGCCATGGTCGCCAGTAGGAAGCATTCAGACGTCCCAAACATGACTACAGAACAGAGCTGGGCTTCACAGCTAGTGACAGGGAGGGCTGTTCCACGTCTTAGGAATCCCATAAGCATTATAGGTGTGACTACTGTGGCAAGCCCTATGTCCACAAAAGCCAAGTGGCTGAGGAACAGGTACATGGGAGTGTGAAGTTGGGAACAGCTTCTTTATTATGCTGATATTGCCTATTAAGGTGACAATGTAGATTCCTAGAAATATCACAAAGAAGATGTCACAAAGTGTAGGATCCTCAGTTAACCCCAAAATAATAAACTCTGTCACTGTGGTATGGTTTCCAATCTCCATCTTTGTGAATTGTTCCTGTTGAAAGAAATGTGAATATTAATTTGTTATAGGATTTTATTTCACACATTCCCAGCTTTCCTTGGCTATTCCTTAGACTCATTCACAGTAACTTCATCCTCTGCCTGATTTGTAAATATTGATATCCCACAGGATTGTTTTTGTTTTGATGTGTCCTCTGCATAAAAAGAGAATGGTTCAACTCAACTCTCTGGGAAATTAGTTACATTCTTTTCTGTATGTAATAAGCACATTAAAATGCCTCTCATACCTAGACTTGTAGACAGATCTCTCAGAAGATGTCTAGACCACAATTCAATGATCTATTGGGAGTCTTCAGTGGAAATTCCACAAGTACCTCAAACCCAGCCTTCCCCATAACAAATTCATTCATTCTTTTCTTTCCTTCCATATTGTGTATCTGGGGAGTGACACCACCATCCACCCAGTCTCTTGTGTCTGCAACTTGTGAGCCCTCCTAGTCTTCTTCCTCTTATTTTATCACAACTCATAAAATCTTATTGGGCCTATCTACAACTTAACTCCCAATTTTATCTCTTTATCTCCTTTTTACTATTCTCAGCATCCCTACTTCAGTCAAGGACCTAGTCGTTTTTCCTTTCTATTTTATTGACCTATTTACTTCACTGCCTTCATTCTTGTTCACAACACATTTGTGTAAGTGATATCTTGGTAAATAAAAAGCAGATGATTCAAAAGAGATTCATTTCAGTCTTTCAGTACTCTCTCAAGCCTTCACAATGAAACCTAACTTGTTAGCAAAGCATACAATATCATTTATGTTCCAGCATACGACTCTTTGTCTGTCAGGATGTCTCCATTCACCACTCACACTGACTCAAACTTCTTGAACTATTTAGAGTCTTCTTGATGTACTCTAATTTCTCTGGCCTTTGCTCCACTTTTTCTCCTGCATAGACAGCTACCACCTCCCACCGTCATTATCCTGGGTGACTTCTACACATCTTTCAAGACTAATTTCCCTCCAAAGCCTTCTCTGACTGCCAGGGGTGAATCAGGTAACCTTCATTTGTATTATAGACATCAGCTTTTGCCTTCACTTATACTGGGTTATGATTTTTGTTGTTATTTGTTTTTTTACTGTTCATTCTCCTCAATGAATACATTGTCTTCCATAACTGCATCCTATCCCTGTATTACAAATATCGACTTCTTGTACATAATGTGCTGAAAAAAACTTATCCAATGAATGAATGCATGATTACAGTAATAAATTGGCTCTGTGAAATAAGAGATAAAGTTTAGGTTCTCTGTCCAGAGAAAGCAGGCCTCATAAAGAAGGAAAAAATGAAGACATTAATTCATGGAAAGCACTGTAATAACAGTATAAGTAAAGAAAGGGCTTATTTTATTTCTAAATAAAAAAATTATATAAGCAGGCTGGGGAAACACTTGAAAATTCAAAAGAAACATTTCTGTCAAATCTGGCTACCATCACACACATCAACTATTGAAATTGGGCACATGTGTTTCCGGGAGTTTATCTGCTATGGATATATTTTTATATGCTTTGTATCACATTGTAAATAAATTTTTTTAAGTTTTATTTTTAGTTGGTAAATAATTGCATATATTTTGGAATACAATGTGAGGTTTCAATGGAATGATCATAGTGCAGATAACGTGGGCAAGGCCAGAAATTTACCAATTGATTGCTATTTTGCCTGCTTCTAGGGAGGGAAGCCATACATGGCACTGTAAGACAAGCCTGAAGTCCATGGTGGGCTTCCTAAAAGGGCAAATGGGAGAAAATATGGTGGTAATGTTCAAGTAATGGATATACCTACAAGGGTCCCTACTAAACACCTGTGTTTTTGCCAATAGCTGTTGTTCCTGCTACCCATGGCAGCTGGTAATGTCTTTCTATACTGGGCTGTGACTACAGCAGCTGTCAGCAACCAGTCTGGTTGTTAAGTATACGAATATCTCCCTCTATCAAATGATAATGGTACACTTTAGAATATTCTGCCTTTCTCCTGACAGAACTGGAGTGACCAGTTCAACAGCACCGATAATGCAACCCCGGTTCACTGGTGATTGTCTCCACCTGGAGGCCCAATTGCCAACATACTGGAGACCTAAAAACATGTGCCCTTATAGACACTACCTGTTGCACCTATATCCCAGATGAAGTGAATAATGTCACAGATGTTTTACATTATTTTTTTGGTCCAGATCCATGATATAACCCAATTAGGTTCCTTTGACTTATTCTCAAATTAGTTACACACCCTACCTACACGTTGAAGTATGTTTTGCTAATAGGCATTATAATTGTAGTTAGCTTCTGCTTTTTATGCTGTTGTGTATGCAGTGTGTGCTTTTTATGCTATTGTGGATATGGCCTGTATGTAAAAGCCATGGCTATATATTATAAATTCATATGTTTCTTCCCGTCTTACCCCACTCAGGGACTTTTGTGCAAGATTGCAGAAAGAATGTAAGAGCTGGGGGAGAGGGTGGGCTGTAATGTGACAGGTCCCCAACCAGGTTACTTAAAGGTGTATGTCGGCTGGTTGCCAAAAGTGCCAAGGAAAATCATTTATATTTCAACAAATTGTGCTGAGACAATTGAACATCCATATGTGAAAGGAAGAATTTATGCAGTTACCTCATGGCACACAAAACAATTAATTCAAGATAAATATAGACATAAATGCAATAGCTAAAACTACAAATTGTTTGAAAGAAAACACAAAAGAATGTCTGTGATCTTGGGTATGAAAGCTAAGTTTTTTTTTTTAACTACAATACCAAAAGCACAATACATAAATGAAAAATCAAAAATTGGACTTCTCAAAATTTAAAACTTTTGCTTTTCAAAAGACCCCACCAAGAAAACGAAATCAAGCCAGACTTGTAGAAAATTTTTGAAAACATTGTATTGGATAAAAAGATGTATACATGAAACAGAAAGGTTCTTACAATTCAGGAGTGAGAAGAAAAATAACCTAATTTTAAAATGTGTAAATATTTGAATAGTCATTTCACCAAAGGAGATATATGAATGGCCATGTTCAAGTAACCCACAGGAAGGCAGGGAAAGAAAGAAAAAAGAAACAAATGAGAGAACAAATAGAAAACAAAAAAATAAAATGGCAAACAAGCCATAATATATCAGTAATTACTTTAAATTCAAATGTTTCAACATCGTTAGACGTCAGGCATTTACAAATTAAAATTAAAATTTTACAAATTAATTTTAAGACTAAAGTTAATTTTTACAAATTAATTTGTAACTTTAAAAAATTAATTTTTGAAAACAAAAAATAAACTGGCAAATAAGCCACAATATATCATTAATTACTTTAAATACAAGTGTTTCAACATCATTAAACATTAAACATTTACAAATTAAAATTAAAATCTCAAAAATCAATTTATAAAGTTTACAAATTAAAACTATGATGAGATACTACTACACATTTATTAGACTGGTTATATTAAAAAGAATTGGCAAGACCAAGTGGTGGCAAGGAGATGAAGCACCTGTGATTTTATACGTCGCAGATGGGAATGCAAACTGGCATAGTCACTTTGGAAAATAATTTGGTAGTTTCTCATCAACTTAAAAATACATTTACTATATGATCTGGCAACACTACTCCAAGGTATTTATTCTAGGGAAATGAAAACTTATGTTCACACAAATACCTGGACAGGAATGTTTATAACATCGCTATTCATAATTGTCAAATACTGGAAGCAACAAAAATATCATTCAAGTGAATGATAAACCATAATACATTCATGCAATGGAATACTACTAAGCAAAAAAGGGAATGAATACAAACATATGGATAAATTTTCAAGTCATTGTGCTGAGTAAAAGAAGCTAGTCTCCAAAGTTATCTAATGCATGATTTAATGAATATGACATTCTCTAAAAGATAATAATATACAGGAGAAAAAATTAGTGTTTGCCCAGGGTTTGGAGTGGACAGAGGTGAAGCTACAAAGGGGTAGCACAAAGCAGTCTTTTGGAGTGATGCAGCTATTCTGTATCCTAATTGTGATGGTGGTTACACAAATCTATACCTTCATTAAAATTTGTGCATCTGTTCACTAAAAGGGTCATGGTTACTGTACATTAATTTTAAAATAAAATAAACAAGGGGAAAATGATCTAGTAACTCTACAAACTGGATCAAGCCTAAGGTGGAGATCATGTCAAAATACAATACATTTTAAAATATTCCCATTACTCGGTATTTTTCTTAAGACAATAGGTAAAAAGAAGTATATTCTGTGCTCCAAGGTAAGCAAATCCCTATGATTTGCAATAATGAAAATACTAAACCAAAGTGCTCCCTCTTGATCATTGTTTCGTTGCATTCTTGCCTATGTTTTCATTAAGGGGCTTATTGCCTTATTCAGATGTTTTGCCATTGTGTTGTGGCAAAGGCAAAGCTTCTGTGTTTGGAGGTAATCATAACAAAGCAGAATTAATAATAAATAATATGAAAAGACAGATAAGTTTCTGTAGTCCAATGTAATAATTTCAGGGCATACTAAAGATTCAGTGAAAATTAGAAAAAAAAAGCATATTCATCAGAATCAGAAAATAGAAGTGAGGAAATAATTTATGTTAAAGCATACAGCATTTGACAGAGTCAATGTCTTTTCTTGCCATTAACTTCAGCTAAACAGCAATCGCTTTAGGTAAATTCTACAGATTTATAAATTCTTTTTGCATATACTTTATTTTAATGTTTTGCATATTTAACAACTAAAGAAAGAATCACCTACAAATCCTTAACTTTAATAGTGCCTCACAATCCATTTTGATTTATTTTGACTTTGAGGCATATATAAGTAGTACTCACATATTTGTAATCATGTATATATTTAACATATATTCCATTTTTAAATTTATATTTCTACTTAGTATTATCAATAAGGTATTTCCCACTTTCCAGAGGAATACTTATAACTGAAATACTGATGGAATCTATGTCAAACTTCTTAGCATGATATACATGGAGCTTCATAATCTATCTTCAATTACTTTTCTAAATGTATCTCCCTATTACATATCCTTCCTTGCAACTTTTGTAGTTTTCAAGAGTCATATTAACATGAGATTGAGATTTTCTGCTCAATATCACTAGTTATACTATTAATAAAAACACAATTTTCTACTAACAATGTTATTGCTGTTCTTAAGGTTTGAAACATTTACCTAAATAATAAATATTAGTACCAATGTCTTCAAATTCCTAAAATTATAATTTATTTTTACTTTGGAATAAGAATTAATTTTCTCTGATAGTGGAACTGAATTCTTTGACTATGTGAATTCTGAGGGATAATAAACCAATAGTTGAGAACCTGTAGCTCATGAAAGAATGTGTTCCATCTCTTCCTTAATTGATCTTCATTAATTGCACCTCAATTACTCTAGTGTCAGGCCTTATTGCCTTTGGTGTTGGTTCTGTTATTAAAATCTATTTTTTAAACTTCCCAATTGGTCCCGCCTGAGTTTAATGGTGCAAACCATCCAATATCTATATAAAAATGTTAACATATTTGACCCCCTATGATGCCTCTTCTACCTTCCTTTTTCTAAATTTAAACTCTCATAGTTCCTTTGGCCATTCCACTGTGAAATACCATTTAGATCCCTCACAATTCTCTTTGTCACTCTCTGAACATACTCTGATCTGAGGAATGAAGCCAAATACTGAGCAACATTTATGCTCTTTGCCTCCTGACTGAGGCAGAGTTCAGTGGAGCTTACCTTGCTTTCATTGTGCACACCACTTGAGCTTCAATCTATGCTGATCACAGAGTCATGGAGTGACTAGAGTCAAATAATTAGATCCTGGGCCTCCTGCCAAACAGCTGTATTATTGGTGCATAATGTCTCTGACTCTCAGTTTTTGCATTTGTGAAATAGAAATAATTGTCCCTAAAATACAGCTTTGTTATTTGACTTAAAGGAATGATGATACCTATAAAGCACCCATAGGTGTTTGGTCATACATCAGGGCTAAGAACCTAAATTTCATTAAGTAAAAATGAAGTATTGGTATATGATTATTTATTCATTTTTTATGAGAAGTAAATTGTCTTTCAACACAGGTCGGGGGATTTTCACCTCAAATCCAATATAAGACAGGAAGTACAGTATCTGGTGCCTTCTTGGTTCTGGACTATGCCATTTAGATATATAACATGCCAACTGATTGTTGCCTTCCCTTCCTCTCCACTGGACGCCTAAGGTCCTCTCTAGAGTTCTTCATTTTGGCATCCATTCATGCTTGTCTACCTGGGTCAGGGACTCTAACTACTCAAATATTCTTTCAATACTTAAATGCCTGGGTCACTTTTGATGATGAATCGAGGGTATAGGACTGGGAGCCCCACCCAACCTGAAAATCAGACTGCTTCTTTAAGGGAGACCCTGATCCACTCCTCATCTTTGGACAGGACCTTCCAACCAGGGCCTCCAACCACCACCACCCATATTCTCTGGCTAACAGTTTTGATTTCTCCCTGGAATTGAGTGCCTGTAGGGAGGGGCGGGCCACCATTTTTACTGTTTGGGCAACTCAGCCATTCCATCCTGCTGGCTTTGGAGAGTTCAAACAGATTGGGTGAAGATAGGATTCCCCAACACAGCACATCTGCTCTACCAAAACATAGCCAGACTGCTTCTTTAAGTGGGACCCCAATCTCTTCCTCATCTCTGGGCAGGACCTCCCAACCAGGGCTTCCAACCACCCCTGCCTGTATTCTCCAGCCAACAGTGATTTGATTTCTCCCTGGGACTGAGCTCCCAGCAGGAGGGGCAGGCCACCATCTTTGCTGTTTGGGCAACTCAGTTGTTCCAGTCTGTGGGCTTTGGAGAGCCCAAACTGACCAGGGTTGAAGCGGTACCCCAGCATGGCACAGCTGCTCCACAAAAGTGTGGTCAGACTGCCTCCCTAAGCATGTCCCTGATCTATTCCTTCTTGCTGGGTAGGACTTCCCAACTAGGGCCTCCAGCCGCTCTCACTGATGTTTTCTGGCTGTCAGAGGTTTGAAAACTTCCTGGGACAAAGCTCCTAGACAGAGGGGTGGGCTGCCATCTTTGCTGTTTTGGCAACTTAGCCATTCCAGCCTCCAGGTTTTGGAGAGCCCAAGCTGACTAAGGGCAGAATTAGTACCCCAGCACAGCACAACTGCTCTATGAAAGCATGGCTAGACTGCTTCTTTAAGCAGGTCCCTGATCCTGTTCCTCCTGACTGGGTGAGGCTTCCCAACCTGGGTCTCCAGCCACCTCCTACAGGTGCATTTGGGCTGGCAACGGGTCTATACCCCTCTGGGATGGAGTCCCCAGAGGAAAGAGCAGGCTGCCATCTTTGCTTTTTTGCAGCCTTCACTGCTGATACTGCCACATACTGAAAAATCCATAGGCAACTAGGGGCTGGAGTGGAAACTCAGCAAAACCCACAGCAGCCCTATAGAAAAGTGGCCAGACTGAAAAAACAAACAAACAAACAAACAAACAACCACCATAAGCTCACAAAGATGAGAAAAAATCAGCACAGGAACACTGAAGATTCAAAAAGCCAGAGTGATCTCTTCCCTCCAAATGACCACATCACCTCTCCAGCAAAGGTCTAGAACTGAGCAGAGGCTGAGATGACTGGAATGACAGAAGTAGACTTCAGATTCTGGATAAAAACAATCTTCACTGAGCCAAAGAAGCATGTTCTAACTCAATGCAAGGAAGCTAAGAATTATGAAAAAACATTGCAAGAGCTAACAGACAAAATAGCCAGTATAGAGAAGAACAAAACCAACCTGATAGAGCTGAAAAACACACTACAAAAATTCCATAATGCAATCACAAGTATTAATAGCAGACTAGACCAAGTGGAGGAAAGAATCTCAGATCTTGAAGATTGTTTTCTGAAATAGGACAGGCAGACAAGAATAGAGAATAAAAATGAAAAAATGAACAAAACCTCCGATAAATATGGGATTATATAAAGAGACTGAATCTACCACTGATTGGTGTACCTGGAAGAGATGAGGAGAATGAAACCAATTTGGAAAACATATTTCAGGATATTAAAGAGGAGAACTTTTCCAACCTAGCTAGACAGGCCAACATTCAAATTCAGGAAATGTAGAGAACCCCAGTAAGATACTCCATGAGAAGATCATCACCAAGACACATAATCATCAGATTCTCCAAGATAAAAATGAAAGAAAAAATGTTAAGGGTAGCCAGAGAGAAAGCCCAGGTCACCTACAAAGGGAAACCCATCAGACTAACAGGGGACCTCTCAGCAGAAACCTTATAAGGCAGAAGAAATTGGGGGCCTATATTCAACATTCTTAAAGAAAAGAAATTTCTACCCAGAATTTCATACCTGGCCAAACTAAGTTTCATAAGTGAAGGAGAAATAAGGTCCTTTTCAGACAAGGAAATACTGAGGGAATTCATAACCACCATACCTGCCCTACAAGAGCTCCTGAAGGAAGCACCAAATATGGAAAGGAAAAACCATTACCAGCCACTACAAAAACACACTGAAGTACCACAGACCAGTGACACTATAAAGCAACCACAAAAACAAGTCTGCAAAAAAACCAGCTAGCATCATCATGACAGGATCACATCCACACATAATAATACTAACCTTAAATGTAAATGGGCTAAATTCCCCAATTAAAAAACATAAAAAGGCAAGCTGGATAAAGAACCAAGACCCAATAATATGCTGTCTTCAAGAGACCCATCTCATATGCAATGACACACATAGGCTCAAGAGAAAGGGATGGAGGAAAATTTACCAAGAAAACAAAAAAACAGAAAAAAGCACGAGTTGTAATCCTAGTTTCTGAAAAAACAGACTTTAAACCACAAAGATCAAGAAAGACAAAGAAAGGCATTACATAATGGCAAAGGGTTCAATTCAATAAGGCTAACTATCCTAAATAAATATATATGCACTCAACGTAGGAGCACTCAAATTCAGAAATCAAGTTCTTAGAGATCTTCAAAGAGACTTAGACTCCCACACAATACTAGTGGGAGACTTTAACACTCCACTGACAATATTACACAGATCATTGAGACAGAAAATCAACAGATATTCAGGACCTGCCATCAACTCTGGATCAAATGAACCTGAAAAATATCTACAGAACTCTCCACCCTAAAACAACAGATGGTACATTTTTCTCATGGCCCCATGGCACTTACTCTAAAATTGAAAAAGTAAGCAGAAGTAAAATACTCCTCAGCAAATGCAAAAGAACTGAAGTCATAACAGTCTCTCAGACCACAGTGCAATCAAATTAGAACTCAAGACTAAGAAGCTCACTCAAAACCATACTATTACATGGAAATTGAATAACGTGCTCCTGAATGACTTTTGGGTAAATAACGAAATTAAGCCAGAAATCAAGAAGTTCTTTGAAACTAATGAGAACAAAGATACAACATACTAGAATCTCTGGGACACAGCTAAGGCAGTGTTAAGAAGGAAATTTATAGCACTAAATGCCCACATGAAAATGCTAGAAAGATCTCAAGTTAACAACCTAATGTCACAACTAAAAGAACTAGAGAACCAAGAGCCAACAAAATCCAAAGCTAGCAGAAGACAAGAAATAATCAAAACCAGAGCTGAACTGAAGGAGATTGAGACACAAAAAACCATTCAAAAGATCAACAAATCCAGGAGCTGTTTTTTTGAAAAAATTAATAAAATAGGTAAACTGCTAGCTAGAATAATAAAGAAGAAAGAGAGAAGATTCAAATAAACACAATCAGAAATTATAAGGGGGATATTACCACTGACCCCACAGAAATACAGCCTCTCTCTCCTCCTGCAAGCCAAGATGTCAAAAGGAAAGAAGGCCAAGGGGAAGAAGGTGGCTCTGGCCCCTGCTGTCATGAAGTAGGTGGCCAAGAAAGTGGTGAATCCCCTGTTTGGGAAAAGGCCTAAGAATTTTGGCACTGGACAGGACATCCAGCCCAAAAGAGACCTCACCTGCTTTGTGAAATGGCCCCACTATATCAGGTTGCAGTGGCAGAGAGCCATCCTTTTTAAGTGGCTGAAAGTGCCTCCTGCAATTAACCAGTTCACCCGGCCCTGGACCACCAAACAACTACTCAGCTGCTTAAGCTGGCCCACAAGTACAGACCAGAGAGCAAGAGAAGAAGCAGAGGTGGTTGGCCCAAGCTGAAAAGGAAGCTGCCAGCAAAGGGGATGTCCCCACTAAGAGACCACCTGTTCTTTGAGCAGGAGTTAACACTGTCACCACCTTGGTGGAGAACAAGAAAGCTCAGCTGGTGGTGATTGCAGATGACGTGGATCTGGACGTCTACTCCACAGGAAGACCTGCACCACTGTCGCCTTCACACAGGTTAACTTGGAAGACAAAGGAGCTTTGGCTAAGCTGTTGTAAGCTATCAGGACCAATTACAATGACAGATACGATGAGATCTGCCATCAATGGGGAAGTAATGTCCTGGGTCCCAAGTCTGTGGCTCACATTGCCAAGCTCAAAAAGGCAAAGGCTAAAGAACTTGCCACTAAACTGGGTTAAATGTACACTGTTGAGTTTTCTGGACATAAAAATAATTAAAGTAATACAAATTTTCCTTCAAAAAAAGAAATACAAACAGCCATCAGAGAATATTATAAACACCTCTATGTACATAAACTAGAAAATCTAGAAGAAATGAATAAATTCCTAAACACATACATACACCCAAGACTGAACAAGGAAGAAACTGAATCCTTGAACAGATCAATAAACAGTTCTGAAATTGAGGCAGTAATAAATAGTCTAAATAAATAAATAAAGCCCAGTACCAGACAGATTCACAGCTGAATTTTACCAAATGTTCAAAGAAGGGCTGATACCATTTCTACTGAAACTATTCCAAAACATTGAAAAGGAGGGACTCTTTCCCAACTCATTCTAGGAGGCCAGCATCATCCTGGCACCAAAACCCAGCAGGATAAAAATCACATGATCATCTCAATAGATGCTGAAAATGCATTTAAACAATTCAAGTTCCTTTCAAGATTAAAATGCTCAACAAATTACGAATGGCAAGAATGGTCCCTTAACACAATAAAGGCCATATTTGACAATCCCACAGAAAATCCTTAGATCCCACAGAAAATTCTGATTTTCTCCACAATCAGGAGCAAGACAAAGATGTACACTATCACCACATTTATTCAATGTAGCAATGAAAGCCCTAGCCAGAGCAATCAGGCAAGAAAAAGATATAAACGCCATCCAAACCAGAAAGGGAGAAGTAAAGTTACCCCATTTGCATAACACATGATTAAACATATATAAGAAAAAAATAAAGATGTCAGACAAAAACAAAATTTTACAACTAAGAAATAAATTTAGCTAAGTTGCAGAATACAAAATCAACATGCAAAAATCAGTTGCATTTTTTACACCAATGACAACCTATCAGAGAAAGAAATCAAGAGTTTGCTGAAAGAAATAAGATCTGGACTGGCATGGTAGCTCATGCCTGTAATCCCAGCACTTTGGGAGGCTGAGGCAGGTGGATCACGAGGTCAGGAGTTCAATATCAGCCTGGCCAATATGGTAAAACTCCATCTGTACTAAAACTACAAAAATTAGCCAGGCGTGGTGGCACTGTAGTCCCAGCTACTTCAGGAGACTGAGGCAGAAGAATTGCTTGAACCTGAGAGATGGATGTTGCAGTGGGCCAAGACTGCACCACTGCACTCCAGCCTGGGTGACAGAGTGAGACTCCATCTAAAACAAAAAACAAAAAAAACAAGGCCAGGTGCAGTGACTCATGTCTGTAATCCCAGCATTTTGGGAGGACAAGCTGGGCAGATCAAGAGGTCAGGAGTTCGAGACCAGCCTGGCCAATATGGTGACACCCCATCTCTACTAAAAATACAAAAATTAGCCAGGCATGGTGGCATGTGCACGTAGTCCCAGCTACTCAGGAGGCTGAGGCAGAAGAATCGCTGGAACCCAGGAGGCGGAGGTTGCAGTGAGCCAAGATCTCACCACTGCACTCCAGCCTGGGTGACAGAGTGAGATTCAGTCTCAAAAAAAAAAAAGAAAAGAAAAAGAAAAAAAGAAATAAGATATACCATTAGATAGGTCAGTAGGGCAGTAGAGTGACTGTAGTTTACAATAATCTATTGTACACTTCAAAAGTCTAGAAGGGAATTCAAATGGTTTTAGCACTAAAAAAAGACAAAATTTAAGGTGATGGATATTCCACGTACACTGATTCACTGATTTGACCTTTACAAACGATATTAATCTATTAAGTTATTACATGTACCCCAAACAATGTACATCTATTATGGATGAGTTAAAAAGAGGTAAAAAAGAAATTAAAAAAGCAAACTCATTTAGGATCACATCAAAAAGAATAATATACTTAGGGTTACTTTTTTTTTTTAATTTTTCTTGAGACAGTCTCACTCTGTTGCCCAGGCTGGAGTGCAGTGGTACAATATCAGCTCACTGCAACTGCCACCTCCCAAGCTCAATCGATTCTCCCACCTCAGCCTCCTGAGCAGCTGGGACTATAGGCATGCTCCAACATATCCAGCTAATTTTTGTATTTTTAGTAAAGGCGGGTTTTTGTCATGTTGGCCAGGCTGGTCTCAAGCTCCTGACCTCAGGTGATCCACTCCCCTAGGCCTTCCAAAATGCTGGGATTATAGGCATGAGCCACTGTGCCAGGCCTACCTAGGGTTACTTTTAATCAAGGAGGGAAAAGACCTCTACACTGAAAGCTACAAAGCATTAAGAAAGAAATTGAAGAAAACACAGATAAATGACCCCAAATAGTAAAACAATTTTAAACAAGAAAGGTAAGGCTGGGGGCATCACACTTTCTGATTTCAAATTACATTAACTAAGCTATAGTAATCAAAATAGTATGGTGCTGGCACAAAAATAAACCCACAGAAATGCAAATCAACACCGTAGTGACTTATCACCTCACACCATTAGGATGACTACTATCAAATAAAAACAGAAAATAACAAATGTGGATGTGCAGATATTGAAACCCTTGTGCATTATTTGTAAAAACGAAAAATGGTGCAGGCAGCCACTGTGGAAAACAACGTGGCAGTTCCTCAAAAAATCAAAATTAGAATTATCATATAATCTAGCAATTTCACTTTTTGGTATATACTCTCCTAAACTGAAAAACAATTGGGTATATACCCAAAATATTGATGTATTTGTACAGCTGTGTTCATAGCAGTATTCTTCATAATAGCCCAAAGGTGAAAGCAACCCATGTGTCCATGGATAGATAAATGGATAAACAAAAAATGTGGTATATATATATATAAGAAAATATTTTTCAGTCTTAAAAGGGAAGGAATCAGTGTGAGGATGGGTGGATTAAAAACAAAAAGAAGGAAGGAAATTCTGAGGTATGCTACAACATGGATGAGCCTTGAGGACATTATGCTACATGAAATGAGCCAATCACAAAAAGACAAATACTGCATGATTCTACATGTAGAAGTTACTTAGAGTAGTCAAATTCATAGAGACAGAAAGTAGAATGGTGATTTACTGAGGCTGAAAGTGAGAGGGGAATGAAGAGTTACTGTTTACTAGTTACAGTTTCAGTTTCAAAAGATGAAGCGTTCTGAAGATAGATGGTGGTGATGGTTGTATAACAACGTGAATTTTTTTTTGGTTGTTTGTTTCTTTGTTTATGGAGTTTCGCTCTTGTTGCCCAGGCTGGAGTGCAATGGCACGATCTCGGCTCACTGCAACCTCCGCCTCCCCAGCTCAAGTGATTCTCCTGCCTCAGTCTCCCAAGTAGATGAGATTACAGGCATGTGCCACCACATCCAGCTAATTTGAATGTTCTTAACATCACTGAACTTTACACTTAAAATGGTTAAGTTGGACATTTTTGTTATATGTATTTTACCACAATTAAAATCAATTTTAAAAAGTATATATCCCCAGAGGTCAACAGAAAGACTAGAGAGCACAGAAATAAACCCATGCATATATGGTTAACTAATTTTAGACAAGGTTACTGAGCACACACAACAGCAAAAGGATAATCTCCATAGTAAGCACTTTTGGGAAAACTGGATATGCACATGTAAAACAAAGAAATTGTACTCATTTTAAACCATTCTCAAAAACCAACTCAAAATTGATTAAGACCAAAACATGATACCTAAAACCGTAAAACTCCTAGAGGAAAATACAGGGGGAAATCTGCTTGACATTGACCTTGGCAATTATTTTTTGGATTTGACAGTAAAAGCTCAGGTGAGAAAAGCAAAAATAAGTTACAGCAAACTAAAATTATTCTGCAGAACAAAGGATACAATCAACAAAATAAAAAGGCAACTTATGGTTTGGGGGAAAATATTTGTAAACCACATATCTGATAAGAGATTAATATCCAAAATATATAAATAAAGAACTTACACAACTCAATAGCAAAAAAAACTCCAAATAACTAGATTAAAAATTGGGCAAAAGATCTGAATAAACATTTTTCAAAAGAAGACATAAAAATGACCAACAGGTATATATAAAAACATGCTTAAATTACTAGAAAATCTAGAAGAAATGGATAAATTCCTCGACACATACACCCCCCCAAGACTAAACCAGAAAGAAGTTGAATCCCTGAATAGACCAATAACAGGCTCTGAAATTGAGGCAATAATTAATAGCCTACCAACCAAAAAAAGTCCAGGACCAGACCGATTCACAGCCGAACTCTACCAGAGGTACAAGGAGGAGCTGGTACCATTCCTTCTGAAACTATTCCAATCAATAGAAAAAGAGGGAATCCTCCCTAACTCATTTTATGAGGCCAACATCATCCTGATACCAAAGCCTGTCAGAGACATAACAAAAAAAGAGAATGTTAGAGACCAATATCCCTGATGAACATCAGTGCTAAAATCCTCAATAAAATACTGGCAAACCGAATCCAGCAGTACATCAAAAAGCTTATCCACCATAATCAAGCTGGCTTCATCCCTGGGATGCAAGGCTGGTTCAACATATGCAAATCAATAAATGTAATCCAGCATATAAACAGAACCAAAGACAAAAACCATGTGATTATCTCAATAGATGCAGAAAAGTCCTTTGACAAAATTCAACAGCCCTTCATGCTAAAAACTCTCAATAAATTCGGTACTGATGGGACGTATCTCAAAATAATAAGAGCTATTTATGACAAACTCACAGCCAATATCATACTGAATGGGCAAAAACTGGAAGCATTCCCTTTGAAAACTGGCACAAGACAGGGATGCCCTCTCTCACCACTCCTATTCAACATAGTGTTGGAAGTTCTGGCCAGGGCAATCAGGCAGGAGAAAGAAATAAAGGGTATTCAATTAGGAAAAGAGGAAGTCAAATTGTCCCTGTTTGCAGATGACATGATTGGATATTTAGAAAGCCCCATCATCTCAGCCCAAAATCTCCTTAAGCTGATAAGCAACTTCAGCAAAGTCTCAGGATACAAAATCAATGTGCAAAAATCACAAGCATTCTTATACTCCAATAATAGACAAACAGAGAGCCAAATCATGAGTGAACTCCCATTCACAATTTCTTCCAGGAGAATAAAATACCTAGGAATCCAACTTACAAGGGACTAGAAGGACCTCTTCAAGGAGAACTACAAACCACTGCTCAACAAAATAAAAGAGGACACAAACTAATGGAAGAACATTCCATGCTCATGAATAGGTAGAATCAATATCGTGAAAATGGCCACACTGACCAAGGTAATTTATAGATTCAATGCCATCCCCATTAAGCTACCAATGACTTTCTTCACAGAATTGGAAAAAACCACTTTAAAGTTCATATGGAACCAAAAAAGAGCCCGCATTGCCAAGACAATCCTAAGCCAAAAGAACAAAGCTGGAGGCATCATGCTACCTGACTTTGAACTATACAACAAGGCTACGGTAACCAAAACAGCATGGTATTGGTACCAAAACAGAGATACAGACCAATGGAACAGAACAGAGTCCTCAGAAACAACACTACACATCTACAACCATCTGATCTTTGACAAACCTGACAAAAACAAGCAATGGGGAAAGGATTCCCTATTTAATAAATGGTGCTGGGAAAACTGGCTAGCCATATGAGGAAAGCTGAAACTGGACCCCTTCTTTACACCTTATATGAAAATTAATTCAAAATGGATTAAAGACTTAAATGTTAGACCTAAAACCATAAAAACCCTAGAAGAAAACCTAGGCAATACCATTCAGGACATAGGCATGGACAAGGACTTCATGTCTAAAACACCAAAAGCAATGGCAACAAAAGACAAAATTGACTAATGGGATCTAATTAAACTAAAGAGCTTCTGCACAGCAAAAGAAACTACCATCAGACTGAACAGGCAACCTACAGAATGGGAGAAAATTTTTGCAATCTACTCATCTGACAAATGGCTAATATCCAGAATCTACAAAGAACTCAAACAAATTTACAAGAAAAAAACAAACAACCCCATCAAAAAGTGGGCAAAGGATATGAACAGACACTTCTCAAAAGAAGACATTTATGCAGGCAACAGACACATGAGAAAATGTTCATCATCACTGGCCATCAGAGAAATGCAAATCAAAACCACAATGAGATACCAGCTCACACCAGTTAGAATGGTGATCATTAAAAAGTCAGGAAACAACAGGTGCTGGAGAGGATGTGGAGAAGTAGGAACACTTTTACACTGTTGGTGGGACTGTAAACTAGTTCAACCATTGTGGAAGACATTGTGGCGATTCCTCAGGGATCTAGAACTAGAAATACCATTTGACCCAACAATCCCATTACTGGGTATATACCCAAAGGATTATAAATCATCCTGCTATAAAGACACATACACACGTATGTTTATTGCAGCACTATTCACAATAGCAAAGACTTGGAACCAACCCAAATGTCCATCAATGATAGACTGGTTTAGGAAAATGTGGCACATATACACCATAGAATACTATGCAGCCATAAAAAAAGATTTCATGTCCTTTGTAGGGACATGGGTGAAGCTGGAAACCATCATTCTCAGCAAACTATCACAAGGACAGAAAACTAAACACCACATGTTCTCACTCATAGGTGGGAATTGAACAATGAGATCACTTGGACAGAGGAAGGGGAACATCACTCACTAGGGCCTGTCGTGGGGTGGGGGTAGTGGGGAGGGATAGCATTAGGAGATATACCTAATGTAAATGACAAGTTAATGGGTCAGCACACCAACATGGCACATGTATACATAGTAACAAACCTGCACGTTGTGCACATGTACCCTAGAACTTAAAGTATAATTTAAAAAAAAGAAAAAAAACAGACTTGTTGATATTGCTATTCATCAAGGAAATACAAATCAAAACCACAGTGAGATATCACCTCATACCCATTAGGATGGCTATTATAAAAGACAAGTGATAACAAGTGTTTGTGAGGGTATGGAGAAAAAGGAACCTTGTGCACTGTTGGTAGGATTCTAAACTGGTGTAGACATTTTGGAAACAGTAAGAAAGTTCCTCAAAAAATTAAAAATAGAACTACATATGACCCAAAAGTCCCTTTGCTGGGTATATACTCAAAGGAAATAAAATCAGTGCCTCATGGAGACACCTGAGCCACCATAAATGGATAAACAAAATGGTGTGTGTGTTTGTGTGTGTGTCTGTGTACACACACACACAATGGAATATTATTCAGCCTTTTAAATATACATATTAAATATTCAGCCTTTTAAATATATATTATATACATACAGACACACACACACTACACACACATGCACACAATGGAATATTATTCAGCCTTTTAAAGGAAGGAGATCCTGCCATTTGCCACAACATGGATGGTCCTGAGGACATTATGCTAAGCAAAATAAGCCAAACACGGAAAGAAAAGTATTGCATGATCTCATTTATATATACGAAATCTTTTTACAATGTCAAATACACAGAAACAGAGAGCAGATTGGTGGGTACCAGGAGGAGGGTGTAGTAGGTAATGGCAGATGTTGGTCAAAGGCTAAAATGTTGCAGCTGTTTAGGATAAGTTGAGCAATCTAATGTACAATAGGAAGACTACAGCTAATAATATTATACCCACAAAATTTGTTAAGGGAGTAGACTTTTTTGTTTCTTTATTTTTCACTTTTATGGGTGCATAGTAGGTGTTTATATTTATGGAATATATTAGATATTTTGATACAGGCATACAATGTGTAATAATCATATCAGGGTAAATGGGGTATTCATCACATTAAGCATTTATCATTTCTTTGTGCTACAGATTCCAATTCTACTTTTTAAGTTTTATTTTAAAATGTACAGTAAATTATTGTTGACTATAGTTACCCTGTTGTGCTGTCAAATACTAGATCCTATTCATTCTGTTTAACTATATTTTTATACCCATTAAACATGTCCCCTTCCACCCACCTTCACTACTCTTCCCAGCTTCTGGTAACCATCATTCTGCCAAGAGAGTAGGTTTTAGGTGCTCCAACCAAGAAAAAAAAAGATAACTATGTAAGATGATGCATGTGATAACTTGCTTAATTGTTACAGTTATATTATGTACATGGGTAACAAAATATGGTGTATAACTTAAACATATACAATTTTTTAACTCATAAAACAGAAGAAAAATGTTGTACCACTTCTTTCTGGTTTTATAGTTTTGGATGAGAAACTCATTGTCTTTCAAAATGCTTTTCTCTTCTAAGTAATATGTCCTTTCCGTCTGGCTGCTTTCAAGATTTTTCTGTCTTTATTTTTCAAAAGTTTAATTAGGATGTGTCTTGTTGTGGATTTCCTTGGGTTTATCCTATCTGAGATTTGCTCACCTTCCTGAATCTGTAGCTCTATATATCTTTGACCAATTTGGAATGTTTTCAATCATTACTTCTTTGATTACTTATTGAATACCCCTTTCCTTCTGAGATTCTCAGGATATAAATATTAGCTCTCTTTTACTGTCTCATAGGTTCATGTGTTCTGTTCTTTTTTATTGTTCCAATCTATTTTGTTTATTGTTCAGAACAGGTAAATTCTATTCATCTTTATTCAAGTTCACTGATTTTGTCCTCTGTATCTCTATTCTGCTACTGAGTTCATCCAGCAAGTTTGTTGTTTTTTAATATTTCTATGAGTATGTTTTGCAGTTTTATAATTTCCATTTGGTTCTTATTTGTAACTTCTATTTATTTGCTGAAATTCTCTATTTTTATTTCTTTCAAGAAAATTAATTATTGCTTCTTGAATCATTTTTTATGGCTGCTTTAAATCTTTGTTAGAAAATTTCAATATCCGCTTCATCTTAGTCTTAGTGTTGGCATGTATTGCCTTTTCTCATTCAAGTTGTGTTTTCCTTGGAATGAAAATTGATATTTGACCATATCATGGACATTCTGAATATCATATTATGAGACTCTAAATCTCTGAATCGTGCCCAGTCTTTTTCAGCAGTCATCCTTGTTGAGCTGTAGCTGAAACTTCCAGGTATGTTCCAGTCTGCTGAAAATGGAGAGCTGACTCATACTACTTTCTTCCAGATGGGTGAGGGGAATGTTCAGCTCCCCACTGCTCTGTTGACTTCATCCCAGTGAAGGGCATTGATTTGTATGCCTCCTTACCTTTCAGGTCCTGCTTCCTGTTGGGACCAATTGACCCTAAGGAAAGGTGAGGTGGCTAGCTGGTTCACACTACCTCATTGCAGGGAGGGTTGGAAGCTCAGCTCCTCACTGGACCACCACTCACATTGGAGCAGGAGAGTCATGATGGGGGCTGTAGAATACCAGCTAGCCCTACCTCACACCATCTCATTAAGTCTTGTTGCTGCCAGGTGACAGTGGAGGCTCCTTTCTCCACTGAACCCTGCTGACATTACCCTGGCAGGGGAATCAGAGTCGGGGCAAGGTGAAGATCAGCATGAGATGGAACAGGGACTCCTCTTAGGGATCCATGGGCCCCCTCAAGCATAGAAATAACAGAAAAAAAAATTGAGTTTTTTCAAGGGAAATTTCAGACACCTAGCTAGCTCTGAGAAGTAAATGAGAAACTTGATATGAAAGAAAGTAATAGTGGCGTAAAACAATAGCCAAGGAAGTTAGAATTACGGGATGTTTGGTTCTCCTGTAGAAACTTAAGATAGCATCTTAACAACATATGTCCCTGGGTTGTTTTTCAGAAACCTGGACCCCCACCAGATGAAAAATTCCATCTGCTGGCACATAGACCTCAGATAAGGAGGAAATGAGGACTGAAGTCTGACCACAGCCATGCTTTGCTCTAAATTTCTTCCTGATGGGCATGGGAGGGGTCACACTCCAAGGCCAGAACTAATATTCTTTTCTGCTAATCCCAAAGTTTTAAACAAAGTTTTGCCTCCTGAACCAACTGCAAATCAGAAAATCTTCGAGTCCACCTATGATCTGTTCCCTATCTCCACTTCAAGATCTGCCACCCTTTTAGGTCAAACCAATGTATTGCCTCCATATTCCGATTTATGACTTTGCCTGTCAACTCTGCCTCCCCACCTTTAAAAATCCTTACTTGCAAGCCATTGGAAAGATCGGGACTTGAGCAAGGGCTGCTTGATTCTCCTTGCTTGGCACTCTGCAAATAAATGCTCTCCTTTCTCCTGCTATAAACCTGGTGTAGATGTTTGGCGTTATTGTGCAGGGCAAGTGGATCCCAGTTCAGTTGGAAAACAGGCTCCCTGATTGGCCCCACTGAAACATAATTTTTCCATTGGTTTTTGTCTAGAGTAAGGCAGGAAGTGCCTAAATGTTTTCTTTTCTCTCCAGGCCACCCTTTTCCCAGTTCTTTGACCAGGAGAGAACAGTCTTTTCTTACAGTTGTTTTTTGTTTTTTGCTTTTGTCTGTGTCTGTTGGCAGTCCTAAGTTGGAATTTTCTAAAGGATCCTGTCCTGGGTATGTGGAAGCAATAAGGAAACCTCAAAACTTCATTGCTATGTTGTTTTTCAAGTCCAATAGTTCCTAGGCAGTTAACCCTTTTTATTCCACCTTTGAAAGTCTTCCTACTTGTTTTTGTGCTACATATAGGGATTTTTTGGTAATAAGAGGAAGGGCCTGGAAGAAATGGGGCTACTTCAGCATCAAGGTAATCAAAAATCTATGCCTTCAAACATGTAGAAATATGCAGTTTCTTATGTATTTCATGCCACAAAGTTGGTGTAATACAAATTAGCCTGCCATATCCAGATATAGAAGTCTCTATACTTACTGTGAACAGAAAGGGTTTGCTAGAAAGAAATGTGTCAGAGACAAATGAAAGTTCATGGTGAAGTGTTCTCAAATTGCCCTTCACTCCACAGGAAGTATGTGCCTTAAAAAAAGCCAAAGTATTATGAGAATATTTGTGCCATTGATCTTTTGCTTAACCTTACGTGCCTCAGTTACATCCTTTGTAATACAATAATTTTTAAAAAAACTTTAAAGAGTTATTCCAAGAAATAATTAGGTTAATACTTTACTTGTAAACAGTGATAACAGTGCCCAGAATGTAGTAGACAGTTTAATCCTGTTACTACTATTACTAACATTTGACTTCTAGATCTTTTAGCTCTCCAACCATGCAAATGCATAAAGGAGCAACTATTTAGTAAAGTGTGAATTCAAACCTTTTAGTAAACTAGGCTGAGATTCTAGTTGCTAATCTAGGTTATAAAAGTGTCAAGGAAGTGATGTAGATGTGCTGAGGATGGGTTTGTTGTAAAAGCCTGTCTCTGTTATAGCAGGATCTCACCTAAACATTCAGTCACTTGAATCAGGCAGAAGCATTCAGCTGATCAGTGGCCAGGATTCAAAGTCAGCAGAGTCAGCAGTTCAAGCAGGAACAAATGCTTCATTCAGCCATCCATTAATTCATTAATTTTTTCTTTATCTCTCCATTTTAAATATGCAAGTATGCTTATTAAGTTCTAGAAACTGTTTGAAAATTAGGTACATGGGGAGAAGAAAAGATGTGGTAGATTCTACATGAAACTTTCAACACTGTCAAGAAAGCAAACACTAAATCTGTATCTACACGTGCATTGAGTATTCTCAAGAGAAGAGATAGGGTTCTATGTAATATCATTATTTGAAGTTCTACTAAAATAACAAGCATCATGAGAAAGTATTTTTCTAACAAGCTCTCTCTTCAGAGCCCCCTTAATCTCCTTGTTCCTGAGGCTGTAGATCAGGGGGTTCAACATGGGAATCACCACTGTGTACAACACAGACACCACCTTGTTCTGGTCAGTTGAGTAGCTAAAATTGGGCATCACATAAATGAAGGTAATGGTCCCATAGAACAGGGTAACCACAGTGAGGTGGGAAGTGCAGGTGGAGAAGGCCTTGTGGTGCCCCTCAGTGGAGCGCATCTTCAGGATGGTGATGAGGATATAGATGTAGCAGACGGCTATGACACACACAGTGACCACAATGATGGATCCAGAAGAAAATGAGAGAACAACTGTGGAGACACTGATATCAGAACAGGAGAGTTCAAGTAAGGGAGCGAAATCACAGAAAAAATGATTGACTTGATTTGGTCCACAGAAGAGTAAAAAATAGAAGGAAGTAGTATAGGAGACAGCAATGAGAAAACCAGCTATGTAAACTACTAAGAGTAGCTGGACACTGACTTGTGTGGACATTTTGGTTGAATAAAGCAGTGGACTGCAAATTGCCACAAAGCGGTCATAGGCCATGGCAGCCAGAAGGACGCATTCGACTGTTGCAAAGAAAGCCGCTGAACCAAGCTGGATGGCACATCCAAGGTAGGAGACTGTATTTCTCTCCACCAGGAAGTTTACAAGCATGTTGGGTGTGACAGAAGATGAATAGGCCATGTCAGCAAAAGCCAAGTGGCTCAGAAAGAAATACATAGGATGATGGAGCTGAGAAGAAATTCTGATAAGAATAATTATGCTGAGATTACCAGATAGGATGATCATGAAGAGGATGACTCGAAGGATTGGATCATCTGTTAAGCCCAATAGGATGAACCCCGTCAGAGCGGTGTGATTCCCGTCCTTCAGGGAATTCATGAGACGAAGTAGCTGCTGACTAAATGAACCCTAATGAGAACAGCACATTAAAATGTTATAAATTTGATGGCTTCATCTTCATTAATATATACATGAAGGTTAATATGAACAGATGTATCATTCAAGGAAAGTTCAGACTTTTTTTTTTTTACCTTAGGGTTTCATTGTTTATGTATTTATGTGTAATCAGTCTTTCTATATTTTAAAATCTGTTTTAGAACACCAAAAAATTGCTTCAAATAATGTATATCCTTTTCAATTTGTATTTTTAATGAAATATATTTAAAGTTGCTTTAAAGAGAAAGATTTTAAAACATAAGACTTATAAGAATAATAAAAGGTATGGTACATATAACAAAAATGATTAAAATATATTAATGTAAGATTAATGAACACAAATATTAGCTAACATTTACTGAATGCCTATCAAATTACTGGCTCAGGGTTAAGAATTTTATCTATATGCATATAATATATAACATATTATTGTATTATATACATTATATATACAGAGATACGTATTTTAATTTCCATAAAATAATATGAAGCACTTTTATTATTACCATTTTATAGATAGGGAAACTAAGTTTGCAAATGTTAAGTAATTTACCTAAGGTTACACAGCAAGTGGTAGAATCTGGATCAGAATCCCACATAGTTTGAATCCAGTCAATTTCCATAATAACTATGTTATTAATGTAATTTGTATAAAATTGTATAATTTGTATAAAATTGTAAAACCATTACATTTATAGCATAGTTGGAGAATTTTTACCATGAAATCTGGTACACTTGAAAATCAGTAGATAACAGATTAACATTTCAGTTCTCTGAAATGTACAACTGATGTATAAAAGAGACGCCTAGCTAGTTACATAGTTTACAATGTTTATCAGTTAAACAACACTAGTTTTTTAAAAGAGACATACAATTTTCTTCATAGGACAGGGAAGAAATGGGAATTTCAAGTTATGCTTATGAATGAAGTCACCTAGTATAAATTGATTAATGACTTTTATTATTTCCAATTAAAATATTATTATATCAAGTAAGTTGAAATACCAATTTAACCATTATGCAAAATGTTGTATGATTAATATTCAGAACATAATTAAGATATTTAGTCAAACCAAATCTTTTCCTAGTGTAACAATGTTAACAAATTGAAGTATTATAGAATCAAATAATATTATTTTGGACATAATATACAGAAGAACAAAGTTTCAGCCTAGAAATATAAAAAGTTTACCAAGGGCCACTCTGTTGATGGCCAGCTTGACCCTCATCTCCAAGTTTTCTGGCCTTATAGCCTTATCTTTCTCCGAAATGTCTAGCTGGGCCAGCCATGGTGGCTCACATTTGTAATCCCAATACTTTGGGAGGCCGAGGTGGACAGATCACTGGAGTCCAGAAATTTGAGACCAACCTGTGCAACATGGCAAAACTTCATCTCTAAAAATGAGCCAGGCACGGTGGTGTGCACCTGTAGTCTCAGTTACTTAGGAGGCTGAGGTGGGAGGATCACCTGAGCCTGGGAGGTCAAGGCTGCAGTGAGCCATGATTACACCACTACACTCTAGCCTCAGTGATAGAGTGAGACCCTGTCTCCAAAAAAAAAGTGTCTTGGGCCAGGCATGGTGGCTCACATCTGTAATCCTAGCACTTTGGGAGGCTGAGATGGGTGGATCACTTGAGGTCAAGAGTTCGAGGCCAGCCTGGCCAACACCGTGAAACCCCATCTGTACTAAAAATACGAAAATTAGCTGGCATAGTGGTGCATGCCTATAATCCCGGCTACTCGGGAGCCTGAGGCAGGAGAATCACTTGAACCTGGGAGGCAGAGGTCGCAGTGAGCCAAGATCACAGCACTGCACTCCCAGCCTGGGTGACAAAGTGAGACTCACACTTAATTAATTTATATTAGCATTACAGCTGAGTGCCAAGTTTAGACGGCAGTGAAAGACCACGTGAGTTTCTGTTCTTATGGGTGGATAAATGAAGAATCTTGGTAAATTGAATCATGCCTGTTAACTCACACTAAATTGATGGCAGAAACTTAATTTAATTCACTAAAGTTACTTGCTAGCTGACTGCAAGATTACATCTGTTTTGTTTCTTAATTATGACTTGTGTGTACACATACAACTTTAGAGAATAAAGTGTTCTCAAATGAAACTCATTACACCAGATTCACCCACAAATCGAAAGTCTTACCTCATGAAATAAAAATTTAATCATCTGGCCGGGCGCGGTGGCTCAAGCCTGTAATCTCAGCACTTTTGGAGGCCGAGTCGGGCAGATCACGAGGTCAGGAGTTTGAGACCAGCCTGGCCAACATGGTGAAACCCCATCTCTAAAAATACAAAAATTAGCTAGGCTCAGTGGTGCACGCCAGTAGTCCCAGCTACTTGGGAGGCTGAGGCAAGAGAATCGCTTGAACCCGGGAACTGGAGGTTGCAGTGAGCTGAGATCGCATCACTGCACTCCAGCCTGGGCGACAGGGTGAGACTCCAACTCAAAACAAACAAACAAAAAATGTAATCATCTTACACTTATAAATTTAGATTCCTTGTTATTATATAGTAGCCACACTGTATTATTTTTTGCCTTTGGGGATAAATCTCTGAAGAGTCTAGAGACTCAAATGTGAATTAAAAGCAGCAGGAATCATTATCACATCCTCAAGTGAATATTGAGCAGTTCAACTCACAAAAACACACATAGTCTTTAAGAGGTTGTCAATTCTCAGATGATCAATTTTTTTCATTTTGTCTGAGGGGTGGTGCACTTTCATTTGATAGTTAATGGGAGTATAATATAATGCATTATCTCACAGCCAAATATTGGTTCTAAGTTTACTTTGATACTTCAGGTTAAAGAATACTAAACTGCAAATATAAAACAGTAAACAGTTTCATTCATTCAACAAATGTTCATTTTCTAAGTATTTTGTAGTGTTAGAGAACGTTCAAATAAACACAATTAGGAACAACAAAGGAAATATTACTACTGACCACATAGAAATACAAATAATCATCAGAGACTTCTATGAACACCTCTATGTCCACAAACTAGAAAATCTGGGAAAAAAATGGATAAATTCCTGGACACATACACTCTCCCAAGACTGAATCAGGAAGAAATGGAATATCTGAGCGGACAAATAGCAACCTCAAAATGAAAACAGCCAACTATGAAACCCACAGCCAACATCATACTGAACAGGCAAAAGCTGGAAGCATTGCCCTTGAAAACTGTCACAAATAAGGATGCCCTCTCTCACCACTCCTATTCAACACAGTATCGGAAGTCCTGGCAAGAGCAATGAGGCAAGAGAAATAAATACAGGACATTCAAATAGGAAGAAAGGAAGTCAAACCATTCCTGTTTGCAGATGACATGATTCTGTATCTAGAAAACCCCAACGTCTCAGCCCAAAAGCTCCCTAATTTGATAACTTCAGCATGGTCTCAGGATACAAAATCAACATACAAAAATCACTAGCATTCCTATATGCTAACAACAGCCAAGCTGAGAGCCAAATCAGAAAGGCATTCCCATTCACAAAAAGCATAAAATACCTAGGAATATAGCTAACCAGGGAGGTGAAAGATTTCTACAATGAGAATTACAAAGCACTATTCAAAGAAATCAGAGATGACACAAACAAATGCAAAAACATTCCACGCTCATGGATAGGAAAAAATCAGTATTATTAAATTGGCCATGCTGCACAAAGCAATTTACAGATTCAGTGCTATTCCTATTAAACTACCAATGATAGTCTCCCCAGAACTAGAAAAAAATTAATTCATATGTAATCAAAAAAGAGCCCAAATAGCCAAGGCAATCCTAAGCAAAAAGAACAAAGCTGGAGTCATCACGTTGTAATACTCGAATTCAGACTATACTACAGGACTACAGTAGCCAAAACAGCCTGGAACTGGTACAAAAGTGACACATTGACCAACAGAACAGAATAGACAACCCACAAATAAGGCCACACATACAACCATCTGATCTTTGACAAAGCTGACAAAAACAAGCAATGGGGAAAGGACTGTCTATTCAATAAATGGTGCTGGGATAACTGGCTAATGATATGCAGAAGATTGAAACTGGACCCCTTTCTTACACTACATTAAAAAAAACTTAAGATGAATTAAAGACTTAAATGCAAAACTATAAAAACCCTGGAATATAACCTAGGCAATACCATTCTGGACATAGGAGCTGACAGAGATTTCATGACGGAAATGGCAAAAGCAAATACAACAAGAGCAAAAATTGACAAATGGGATCCAATTAAACTAAAGAGCTTCTGCACAAAAAGAGAAACTATCATCAGAGTAAACAGACAACCTACAGAACGGGAGAAAATATTTGCAAACTATGCATCCAACAAAGGTCTAATATCCAGAATCTATAATAAACTTACACAAACTTACAAGATGAAAACAAAAAGCCCATAAAAATGTGTGCAAAGGACATGAACAGACACTTTTCAAAGGAAGACATACAAGCATATGGAAAAAAAGCTCAATATCATTGATCATTAGAGAAACACAAATCAAACCCACAATGAGATACCATCTCACACCAGTCAGGATGGCAATCATTAAGAATTCAAAAAAACCAGATGCTGGTGAGGTTGCAGAGAAAAGGGAATGCTTATACACTGTTGGTGGGAGTGTAAATTAGTTCAGCCATTGTGGAAAGCAGTGTGGTAATTCCTCAAAGAGGTAAAACAGAACTACCATTTGACCCAGAAATCCCATTTCTGGGTATATACCTTGATATGGTTTGGCTGTGCCCCCACCCAAATCTCATCCTGAATTGTAGCTCCCATAATCTCCATATGTCATGGGAGGGATCTTGTGGGAGGTCATTGAATCACGGAGGCAGGTTTTTTCCATGCAGTTCTTGTGATAGTGAATAAGTCTCACTAGATCTGATCATTTTATAAAGGGCAGCTCCTCTGCACATTTGCTCTTGCCTGCCACCATGTAAGACACGCTTTTGTTCCTCCTTTGCCTTCTGTCATGACTGGGAGGCCTCCCCAGCCATGTGGAACTGTGAGTTTATTAAACTCACAGTTTTCTTTATAAATTACTCAGTCTCGGGTATGTGTTCAGAGCAGTATGAAAATGGACTAACACATACCCAAAGAAATATAAACTATTCTATCATAAAGACACATCCCCATGTGTATTCATTGCAGCACTAGTCATGATAGCAAAGACATGGTGATATGGTTTGACTGTGTCCTCACCCAAATCACATCTTGAATTGTAGCTCCCATAATTCCCATGTTTTGTGAGAGGGTCCCAGTGGGAGATAATTAAATCATGGGGGTGGTTTCCCCTATATTATTCTCATGGTAGTGAATAAGTCTCATAGGATATGATGGTTTTATAAGGGGTTTCCACTTTTGCTTGGTTGTCATTCTCTCTTGCCTGCCACCTTGTAAGACATGACTTTGCTCCTCCTTTGCTTCCACCATGATTGTGAGGCCTCCCCAGTCATGTGGAATTTTGAGTCAATTAAACCTCTTTCCTTTATAAATTACCCAGTCTCAGATATGTCTTTATTAGCAGTGTGAGAACAGACTAATACACATGGAATCAACCTAAATGCCCATCAATCGTAGACTGGATAAAGCAAATGTGGTACATATACACCACGAAATACTATGCAGTTCTAAAAAAGAACAAGATCATGTCCTTTGCAGAAACATGGATGGAGCTGGAGGCCATTATCCTTAGCAAACTAACACAAGAACAGAAAACCAAATGTCGCATGTTCTCACTTATAGGTAGAAGCTAAATGATGAGAACACATGGATGCAAAAAAGGAGAACAACAGACACTGGGGGCTACCTTAAGGTGGAAGGCGGAAGGAGGAAGAGAAGCAGAAAAAAAGCTATTGGGTACCAGGCTTAGTACTGGGGTGACAAAATAATGTGTACAGCAAACCCCTGTGACATGAGTTTACCCATATAACAAACATGCACATGTAGCTGAAGCTAAAATAAAAGTTTTAAAAATATATAAATGGGCCAGTCATGGTGACTCACTCCTGTAATCCCAGCACTTTGGGAGGCCAAGGCAGGTGGATCACTTGAGGTCAGGAGTTCCAGATTAGCCTGGCCAACTTGGTGAAACCCCGTCTCTACTAAAAATACATAAATTGGCTGGGCTTGGTGGCGCACACTTGTAGCTCCAGCTACTCCAGAGGCTGAGGCACGAGAATCTCTTGAACCTGAAAAACAGAAGTTGCAGTGAGCCAAGATCATGCCACTACACTCCAGCCTGAGCAACAGAGCAAGACTTCTGTCTCAAAAAAAAAAAAAAAAAAATATATATATATATATATACACACACATATATGTATATATACACACACACGAATAAACAAATAAATTTACAAAAAAATTGTTAATTCTCAAAAAAATGACCTATGTAGTCCATGAAACTTTTGTAGGGATTGATAAACTACATATAAGATTTACATAGATATGCCTACTAGCTGGAATAAATAAAACCATTTTAGAATGGAAGGAAAATGACTACTAGCTGGAATAAATAAAACCATTTTGGAATGGAAGGAAAAAGTTTTAATATTTGCAAGACATGATTTCAAGACTTTTCATAAGCCTACAGCAGTCAACACTGTTATATTGGTGAAAGGTTAGATATATAGTTCAAAGGAGCAGAAAAAATGATGTAAAAATAGACACAAGTATAAATGATCAATTGATTTCAGATAAATGTTAAAAGAAATTCTAAGAATAGAAAGAGTCTGCAACAAATGTTACTAGAACAACTGCATATACACATGAAAAATATAACACCTACCCTTAACTCACAACATAAAGAAAATTAACTCAAAATGTACCATAGATGTAAATGCAAAAAAATAAAAAAAAATTTCTAGATATAAACATAGGAGAAAATTTTTGCATTTGGGAAATAAGATTTTTTGGCATTACACAAGAACCACAAACCATAAGAGAGGCAAAAAAAATTATACTTTGGTTATGAATTGAATTTTTGTGTCCCCTAAAATTCACATGTTGGAGCCTTAACTTCCAATATGATGGTATATGAAGATGAGGCTTTGGGGAGGTAATTGGGGATATAGGAGGTCATGAGAATGGGGCCCTGGCCTGATGAGATCATAACCCTAAAGAAGAGACCTCAGAAACTGACCATGCTGGCATCCTGTTTCTGTAGAATTATAAGAAAATAAATGTCTATTGTTTAAGCCCCCAGTCTAAGTATTTTTTATGGTAGCCCATGCTGACTGATACATTAGACTTCATCAAAATTTAAAACGTTTGTTCTTCAAGTGACAGCAAACCAACACAGAAAAGGATATAATATTTGCAGTACATATATCTCACATAGGCCTTATGTTCAGAAAAGAGAACAAAAAATTACAAACTTTCGCTGACCATCTGTTTGTTTAAATAAAGTTTTATTGAAATACAACCATGCCCATTTGTTTACATATTATATATGATTGCTTGTGCATTTTAGTGACAGAGATGAGTAGTTATGACAGATTGTTTGGCCAATGAGCCCAGGATATTTCTCTCTGGCCTTTAAGATCTTGCCAACTCTTGAACAAGAATATACAAAGAACTCTTATAAATAAATAAGAAGTAAAACAGCCCAATGTTAAAAACAGATGAAACATTTGAACAGACATTATATATTTAATTAATTTTTTCCTGCTTGCCGTCTGTAAACTACTTTTAAACCCATCTAGTTATTTTATCTTTGCAGTGACTGTATTTTTTCAGCTATAGAGTTTATCCTTTTTTATATAGTTTCTATTTTTCTGATTAGATCTATGTTGGTTTGTTTATGCATTTTTTAAGCCTTTGAACATATTACAATACCTTCTTTGAAATCGTTGTCTCCTAAATCCAACAATTGTTATTTGGAGTGGGTCTCAATTGACCACCATTTTTTATTGACATGGCTTATACTTTACTGCTTCTTTTCATTTTTTTAGAGACTTTTGTTCAAAAATAGGACATTATAGGTAATAATTGTAATGACTCTGAAATCTGTTATATTCTTCTGATGGTTGTTGGTTTTATGTTGTGGTAGATAGCTGTCTTCTCTATACTTATACTATAAAGCATATAGTAGACTCTTTTCCGTTTGTTTTGCAACACGTGATCTATTTGTTCAATTCATTTGGCTTCCAGCTGCTGTTCTTTTAACCTGGCGTGTAGGGGAACTCTTTCATGATTGTGAATTTGTCAATAATTTAATAATTTGGGCAGTTTATTATCAGTTTGGAGAACAGGGTTCAGCCTGTCTGCATTTAGTTCCCTTGCATGTAGGTGCCCATCAAATTTCCAGCTGCTCTTTTTTTCCCAAGCTCTGTCATCTGACCATTCAAGTCATTAATGTTAAATTTTTATCTGATGCCTGGGCTTACAAATTCTATCCGTCAAAAGTGCAACAAAATAGGGGCCAATATGGCTGATTAGAAGCATCTCTTACTCACCTCCTTTAATTAAAATAACCAAAATAGTGAAGAGATAATCACTCTTTGAATAGATCATCCAAGAGAAAACACTGGAATTCAACAGAGAAGTGGTGACAAACACCTAAAGCAAGGGAAAGGCAGGGAGCAAGGCAGTCTGCTTAGCCAAGATCAGTGGGGAACCAGAAAAGACTCCCTAATGCAGGGAAAATGTAAATGAGAGATTTCCAGTGGTCCACATTCCCACCAAGAAATCCTATAATCCTAGCCAATGGAGAGCTGCATGACCCTTGCAGGCCCCGAGAATAACATAGGGAGTCCCTGGAAACCACACAAAGGCATTGCTTCAGAAAGAGAGGTCATGCTGGGTCCCACAAGCCCTGAAGTCCTGGGCACAGCAACAAGATGCCATTTTGAGAGCCCAGCCCACACCAGACTGCATCTTGTCCTGCAACCTGGGCCAATATGGCAGCCACCAGCGCGATTCTGCCCCACCCCTGCAGAGGGCTGCACATTCTCACATATCCTGAGGATGAGTTCTGCTGCCTGCAACTGCTGTAGGTGTAGACTGCTATGGGCTGAGGTACACTAAAAGCCCACACCCCCAGCTGCCTGCCTATGTCTGCCCCCAGGAAAAGCAACTCCACCCTCTACAGTAGCACACCCACTGCCTCCTCCACCTGAGCATTCTGTCAGAGGCCTTGGGCTTACCCTACTACTGCACACCATAGCCAATGTGTTTACACACCAACAAGGGGCCTGAGGACACAGGCAGGCCTGGTTGCCCCCATCCCAAGTACCTGAGCACAGCATCCAGGAACCTGGGACTCTCACAGTCTAGTCCACTACTAGTGGCATCTGAGCTCTTCTCCTAGAGTCTAAAGCTGGACCCACTCAACCTGCCACTGCCACCACAGCTAGCACCTACCTCCATATGCCACGTGTGGGTCTGTTAACACTGTTAACACCAGTGGGGACCACCTGGGTCCCAAAGTGCTGTTTCACCACTGCTACTGCCATTGCCCAAGCAACACCCACTCTTTAGGGGCTCAAGAACCCACCCCACCTCCCAACCCTCCACTGATATTCCCAACAATAGAGCAAGCCACCTGGAGGCCCAAGAATTGGCCTGCCTCGACCCACTAATGCTGGTGCTCTGGGGCCCAAAGACAGGCACACTCAGCCCACCGCTGCTACCACTGGTGTCTGAAGACTGGTCTACCTGGTTGTCCAGTCCCCAGCAAAACTTCAGCAAAACCTTCACTAACAACTACACCTTGAGCCACTGAGGAAATTACAGACGTCATTGACACTGTTTACAGCCAAAGAAATAATACAGAGACTACACTATTAAATGCACCCAGAATCAAAGCTAAAGTGTAATACCCAAGCAGCACCATAGATATATCTTCAGGAAAAAATCCTTCTCTCCAAAGACAAATTTAAAAAAATGTAAAAAGCAACTGTTAAATCAGATGTGCAGGTATCAAAGTAAGGACATAGGAAGAAGAAAAAACAAGGATATATGACACTTCCAAAGCAACACAATAATTCTCCAGCAACAGATCCTAATCAAAAAGAAATTTATGAAATCTCAGAAGAAAGAATTCAAAATTTTGATGCTAAAGAAGCTCAGTGACATATAAGAGAATTCTGGAAAACAATACAAAGAAATCAGAAAGACAATTCAGAACATGAATGAGAAATTTACCAGAGATAGATATAAAACAGAACCAAACAGAAATCCTGGAAGAGAATAATTAATTGAATGAAATACACAATGCATTTGAAAGTTTCAACAATAGGCTAGATACAGTAAGAAAAAAAAATCAGAATGTGAAGACAAGTCTTTTGAAATAATCCAGTGAGCAAAAATAAAAATAAAAAAGAATAAATCCCTTATGACATATGAGATCCCATAAAGTGGCCCAATTTTCAAATTTCACCTAAAGAAAGGTGAAACAAAGGGCACAGAGCCACCTCTCTGTACATACTCAGTAAACTGGTCAAAACCAGTCTATAGCCAGCAGTCATTTAGCAAAAAGGAATGCTTTGTAGACAAGGAGAACTGCAATGCTAGAACCATGAAAACAAAAGGAGTGGTGTCAGGTGGTCAAATTAAATAAGTGGAGGTGTTTTCCTGTCTTTTGTTCTCCCAAGCTGGCTTTTGAGAAAATCTGGTAATAATAAGTAAGGGGAAGCCAAGAGTGGGATATAACCAATCTGTCTCATCATGGCCAGGAACTCAAAGGTTTTGGGGTATTTTAGCCTAGTGGGTTGTATTAGTCCATTCTCACACTAATTTTATGCTAATAAAGACACACCCAAGTCTTGGTAATTTATAAAGGAAAGAAGTTTAATTGACTCACAGTTCAGGCTAGCTGAGGAGGCCTCAGGAAACTTACAACCATGGCAGAAGAAGAAGCAAACACGTTCATCTTCACTTGGCAGCAGCAAGAAGTGCCAAGCAAAAGGGGGGAAAGCCCCTTATAAAACCATAGATCTTGTGAGAACTCACTCACTATCATGAGAACAGCAGCATGGGGTAACCACCCCCAAGATTCAGTTACCTCCCACCAGGCCCCTCCCACATGTGGGGATTATGGGAACTACAATTCAAGATGAGATTTGGGTGGGGATATAGCCAAACCATACCAAGGGTCCATTAGTGTGTCGATGGGGTGGGGGGTTGAACCTTTGTTTCAGTCTTCAAATGGAGTGAAGAACAAAAATTATATAGTCATCTCAATAATGCAGAAAAACGTGAAAAAAATTAACTTCCCTTTATGATTAAAACTCTCAACAAACTACCCATAGAATGAACATACCTCAAAATAATAAGACCTTATATGACAAACTCACAGCTGACATCATACTGAATGGGGAAAAATGGAAAACCATTTCTCTAAGAACTGGAACAAAACAAGGATACCCACATTCAGCTCTACTATTGAACATAGTACTGGAAATCCTAGCCAAAACAATCAGGTGAGAGAAAGAAATAACCATCCAAATTGGAAAAGAGAAAGTCAAATTGCCTCTCTTTGCAAACCACATGATTTTCTATTTTTAAAAACCAAAACATGTCATCAAAAAAACTCTTAGAACTGATGAAACAAATTCAGTAAAGTTGTAGAACAAAAAATCAACATACAAAAAATTAATACCATTTCTATATACCAATAATAAAATTGGAAAAAATAAATCAAGAAGGCAGTTCATTTATAATAGCTATCAAAAATACCTAGAAATAAATCATAAATACTACAATCAAATGGAAAAACATTTTATCCTCAAGGATAGGAAGAATCAATATTGTTAAAATGGCCATACTGTCATAAGCAATTTACAATTCAACGCTATTCCTATCAAACTCCCAATGACATTTTTCACAGAATTAGAAAAAAAAACTATTCTAAAATTTACATGAAACCAAAAAAGAACCCAAATATCTAAAGTAATCCTAAGCAAAAAAGAAAAAAGCTGAAGGCATCACACTATTTGGCTTCAAACTATACTATGAGGCTACAGTAACCAAAACAGCATGGTACTAATTCAAAAACACACACATAGAGCAAAGGGACAGAATAGAGAACCCAGAAATAAAGCCATACACGTATAACCATCTGATTTTTAACAAAGTTGACAAAAACATGCAAAGGAAAAAGGCCTCACTATTCAATAAATGGTGCTGGAATAACTGTCTAACCACATGCAGAAGCCTGAAACTGGGCCCTTTCTTTTCACCATATACAAAAATCAACTGAAGATGGCTTAAAGACTTAAATGTAAAAACTAAAACTATAAAAACCTTGTAGAAAACCTAGGCAATACCATTCTGGACATAGACCCTAGTGAAGATTTCATGATGAAGACACCAAAAGTAATTACCACAAAAGCAAAAATTGACAAACAGGATCTAATTAAACTAAAGAGCTTCTGCACAGCAAATGAAACTATCAACAGAGTAAACAGACAACCTACAGTATGGGAGAAAATATTTGCAAACTATGCATCCAATGAAGGTCTAAAATCCAGCATCTATAAGGAACTTAAACAAATTTACAAGAAGAAACCGACCCCATAAAAAGGTGGGCAAAGGACATGAATAAATACTTCTCAAAAGAAGACATACATGTGGCCAACAAGCAAATAAAAAATGTTAACATCACCAATTATTAGAGAAATGCAAATCAAAACCACAATGAGATACCCATCTCAAATCAGTTAGAATGGCTATTATGAAACATTCAAAAAATAATAGATGCTGCTGAGGCTGTGGAGAAAAGGAATACTAATGCACTGCTGGTAGGAGGGTAAACTTGTTCATCCACTATTAAAAGCAGTTTTTAGATTTCTCAAAGAACTTAAAACAGAACTACCATTCAATTCAGTAATCCCATATACAATTTGATACTTACCCAAAGAAAATAAATAACTCTAGCACAAAGACACATGTATGTGTATGTTCATTGCAGCACTGTTCACAATAGCAAAGACATGGAATCAACCTAAATGCCCAACAATGGTGTATTGGGAGAACCTGCCCCCAATACTTCAAAGTAGGTTCTTTCTATTTTCTGTAAGTGTCAGCTGGATGAGAAATAAAGAGAGACAGTATAAAGAGAGGAATTTTACGGCTGGGCCACCAGGGGTGACATCACATGTCGGTAGGACCATGATGCCCACCTGAGTCTCAGACCAGCAAGTTTTTATTAAGGGTTTCAAAAGGGGAGGGGGTGTAAGAACAGAGTAGGTACAAAGATCACATGCTTCAAAGAGCAAAAAGCAGAACCACTGATAAGGGTCTAACAAAGATCACATGCTTCTGAGAGAACAGGGCAAAGGGCAAAAGCAGAGCCACTGATAAGGGTCCAAGAAAGATCACAGGGCAAAAGGCAAAAGCAGAACAACTGATAAGGGTCCAACAAAGATCACAGGGCAAAGGGCAAAAGCAGAACCACTGATAAGGGTCTATGTTCAGCAGTGCATGTATTGTCTTGATAAACATCTTAAACAACAGAAAACAGGGTTCAGGAGCAGAGAACCGGTCTGACCACAAATTTACCAGGGCTGAGTTTTCCCAACCCTAGTTAGCCTGAGGGTTCTGCAGGAGACCAGGGCTTATCTCTGTCCTTATCTCAACTGCACAAGACAGACATTCCCAGAGCAGCCATTTATAGACCTCCCCCCAGGAACGCATTCTTTTCCCAGGGTATTAATATTAATATTTCTTGCTAGGAAAAGAATTTAGTGATATGTTTCCCACTTGCATGCCTGCTTATAGGCACTCTGCAAGAAGAAAAATATGGCCGTTTTTGCCCAATCCCGCAGGGCAGTCAGACCTTATGGTTGTCTTCCCTTGTTCCATAAAAATCGCTATTATTCTGTTTTTTTTCAAGGTGCACTGATTTCATATTGTTCAAACACACGTCTTACAGTCAATTTGTACAGTTAACACAATTATCACAGTGGTCCTGAGGTGACGCACATCCTCAGCTTACGAAGATAACAGGATTAAGAGATAAAAGACAGGCATAAGAAATTATAAAAGTATTATTTGAGAACTGATAAATGTACATATTAAGATGAAATCTTCACAATTTATGTTCCTCTGCCACAGCTCCAGCTGGCCCCTCTGTTCGGGGTCTCTGACTTCCCATAACATAGATGGACTAAATAAAGAAAATGTGGTACATATACACCATGGAATACTATGCAGCCATTAAAAAACAATATGAATAGGAGTGGTGAGAGAGGGCATCCCTGTCTTGTGCCAGTTTTCAAAGGGAATGCTTCCAGTTTTTGCCATTCAGTATGATATTGGCTGTGGGTTTGTCATAGATAGCTCTTATTATTTTCAAATATGTCCCATCAATACCTAATTTATTGAGAGTTTTTAGCATGAAGCGTTGTTGAATTTTGTCAAAGGCCTTTACTGCATCTACTGAGATAATCATGTGGTTTTTGTCTTTGGCTCTGTTTATATGCTGGATTACATTTATTGATTTGTGTATATTGAACCAGCCTTGCATCCCAGGGATGAAGCCCACTTGATCATGGTGGATAAGCTTTTTAATGTGCTGCTGGATTCGGTTTGCCAGTATTTTATTGAGGAATTTTGCATCAATGTTCATCAAGGATATTGGTCTAAAATTCTCTTTTTTGGTTGTGTCTCTGCCCGGCTTTGGTATCAGAATGATGCTGGCCTCATAAAATGAGTTAGGGAGGATTCCCTCTTTTTCTACTGATTGGAATAGTTCCAGAAGGAATGGTACCAGTTCCTCCTTGTACCTCTGGTAGAATTCGGCTGTGAATCCATTTGGTCCTGGACTCTTTTTGGTTGGTAAGCTATTGATTATTGCCACAATTTCAGATCCTGTTATTGGTCTATTCAGAGGTTCAACTTCTTCCTGGTTTAGTCTTGGGAGAGTGTATGTGTCAAGGAACTTATCCATTTCTTCTAGATTTTCTAGTTTATTTGCGTAGAGGTGTTTGTAGTATTCTCTGATGGTAGTTTGTATTTCTGTGGGATCGGTGGTGATATCCCCTTTATCATTTTTTGTTGCATCTATTTGATTCTTCTCTCTTTTTTTCTTTATTAGTCTTGCTAGTGGTCTATCAATTTTGTTGATCCTTTCAAAAAACCAGCTCCTGGATTCATTAATTTTTTGAAGGGTTTTCTGTGTATCTATTTCCTTCAGTTCTGCTCTGATTTTAGTTATTTCTTGCCTTCTGCTAGCTTTTGAATATGTTTGCTCTTGCTTTTCTAGTTCTTTTAATTGTGATGTTAGGGTGTCAATTTTGGATCTTTCCTGCTTTCTCTTATGGGCATTTAGTGCTATAAATTTCCCTCTACACACTGCTTTGAATGTGTCCCAGAGATTCTGGTATGTTGTGTCTTTGTTCTCGTTGGTTTCAAAGAACATCTTTATTTCTGCCTTCATTTCATTATGTACCAAGTAGTCATTCAGGAGCAGGTTGTTCAGTTTCCATGTAGTTGAGTGGTTTTGAGTGAGATTCTTAATCCTGAGTTCTAGTTTGATTGCACTGTGGCCTGAGAGATAGTTTGTTATAATGTCTGTTCTTTTACATTTGCTGAGGAGAGCTTTACTTCCAAGTATGTGGTCAATTTTGGAATAGGTGTGGTGTGGTGCTGAAAAAAATGTCTATTCTGTTGATTTAGGGTGGAGAGTTCTGTAGATGTCTATTAGGTCTGCTTGGTGCAGAGCTGAGTTCAATTCCTGGATATCCTTGTTAACCTTCTGTCTCGTGGATCTGTCTAATGTTGACAATGGGATGTTAAAGTCTCCCATTATTATTGTGTGGGAGCCTAAGTCTCTTTGTAGGTCTCTAAGGACTTGCTTTCTGAATCTGGGTGCTCCTGTATTGGGTGAATATATATTTAGGATAGTTAGCTCTTCCTGTTGAATTGATCCTTTTACCATCATGTAATGGCCTTCTTTGTCTCTTTTGATCTTTGTTGGTTTAAAGTCTGTTTTATCAGAGACTAGAATTGCAACCCCTGCCTTTTTTTGTTTTCCATTTGCTTGGTAGATGTTCCTCCATCCCTTTATTTTGAGCCTATGTGTGTCTCTGCACGTGAGATGGGTTTCCTGAATACAGCACACTGATGGGTCTTGACTCTTTATCCAATTTGCCAGTCTGTGTCTTTTAACTGGAGCATTTAGTCCATTTACATTTAAAGTTAATAGTGTTATGTGTGAATTTGATCCTGTCATTATGATGTTAGCTGGTTATTTTGCTCGTTAGTTGATGCAGTTTCTTCCTAGTCTCTATGGTCTTTACATTTTGGCATGATTTTGCAGTGGCTGGTACCAGTTGTTCCTTTCCATGTTTAGTGCTTCCTTCAGGAGCTCTTTTAGGGCAGGCCTGGTGGTGACAAAATCTCTCAGCATTTGCTTGTCTGTAAAATATTTTATTTCTGCTTCACTTATGAAGCTTAGTTTGGCTGGATATGAAATTCTGGGTTGAAAATTCTTTTCTTTAAGAATGTTGAATATTGGCCCCCACTCTCTTCTGGCTTGTAGGGTTTCTGCCGAGATATCCGCTGTTAGTCTGATGGGCTTCCCTTTGAGGGTAACCCGACCTTTCTCTCTGGCTGCCCTTAAGATTTTTTCCTTCATTTCAACTTTGGTGAATCTGACAATTATGTGTCTTGGAGTTGCTCTTCTCGAGGAGTATCTTTGTGGCGTTCTCTGTATTTCCTGAATCTGAACGTTGGCCTGCCTTGCTAGATTGGGGAAATTCTCCTGGATAATGTTGGAAGTTCTGGCCAGGGCAATTAGGCAGGAGAAGGAAATAAAGGGTATTCAATTAGGAAAAGAGGAAGTCAAACTGTCCCTGTTTGCAGACGACATGATTGTATATCTAGAAAACCCCATTGTCCCAGCCCAAAATCTCCTTAAGCTGATAAGCAACTTCAGCAATGTCTCAGGATACAAAATCAATGTACAAAAATCACAAGCATTCCTATACACCAACAACAGACAAACAGAGAGCCAAATCATGAGTCAACTCGCATTCACAATTGCTTCAAAGAGAATAAAATACCTAGGAATCCAACTTACTAGGGATATGAAGGACCTCTTCAATGAGAACTAAAAACCACTGTTCAACAAAATAAAAGAGGACATAAACAAATGGAAGAACATTCCATGCTCATGAATAGGTAGAATCAATATTGTGAAAATGGCCATACTGCCCAAGGTAATTTATAGATTCAATGCCATCCCCATCAAACTGCCAATGACTTTCTTCACAGAATTGGAAAAAAACTACTTTAAAGTTCATATGGAACCAAAAAAGAGCCCACATTGCCAAGTCAGTCCTAAGCCAAAAGAACAAAGCTGGAGGCATCATGCTACCTGACTTCAAACTATACTACAAGGCTACAGTCACCAAAACAGCATGGTACTGGTACCAAAACAGAGATATAGATCAATGGAACAGAACGGAGTCCTCAGAAATAACACCACACATCTACAGCCATCTGATCTTTGACAAACCCGATTAAAAACAACAACTGGGGAAAGGATTCCCTATTTAATAAAGGGTGCTGGGAAAACTGGCTAGACATATGTAGAAAGCTGAAACTGGATCCCTTCCTTACACCTTATATAAAAATTGATTCAAAAAGGATTAAAGACTTAAATGTTAGACCTAAAACCATAAAAACCCTAGAAGAAAACCTAGCCAATACCATTCAGGACACAGGTGTGGGCAAGGACTAGAACACCAAAAGCAATGGCAACAAAAGCCAAAATTGACAAATGGGATCTAATTAAACTAAAGAACTTCTGCACGGCAAAAGAAACTACCATCAGAGTGAACAGGCAACCTACAGAATGGGAGAAAATTTTTGCAATCTACCCATCTGACAAAGGGCTAGTATCCAGAATCTACAAAGAACTTAAACAAATTTACAAGAAAAAAAAACAACCGCATCAAAAAGTAGGCAAAAGATAGGAACAGACACTTCTCAAAAGAAGACATTTATGCAGCCAACAGACACATGAAAAAATGCTCATCATCACTGGCCATCAGAGAAATGCAAATCAAAACCACAATAAGATACCATCTCACACCAGTTAGAATGGTGATCATTAAAAAGTCAGGTAACAACAAGTGCTGGAGAGGACGTGGAGAAATAGGAATGCTTTTACACTGTTGGTGGGAGTGTAAACTAGTTCAACCATTGTGGAAGACAGTGTGGTGATTCCTCAAGGATCTAGAAGTAGAAATACCATTTGACCCAGCCATCCCATTACTGGGTATATACCCAAAGGACTGTAAATCATGCTACTATAAAGACACATGCACATGTATGTTTATTGTGGCACTATTCACAATAGCAAAGACTTGGAACCAACCCAAATGTCCATCAATGATAGACTGGATTAAGAAAATGTGGCACATATACACCTGGAATACTATACAGCCATAGAAAACGATGAGTTCATGTCCTTTGCAGGGACATGGATGAGGCTGGAAACCATTATTCTGAGCAAACTATCGCAAGGACAGAAAACCAAACACTGCATGTTCTCACTCATAGGTGGGACTTGAACAATGAGAACACTTGGACAAAGGGCAGGGAACATCATACACAGGGGCCTGTCATGGGAGCGGGAAGGGATGGCATTAGGAGAAATATCTAATGTAAATGACAAGTTAATGGGTGCAGCACACCAACATGGCACATGTATACATAAGTAACAAACCTGCATGTTGTACACATGTACTCTAGAACATAAAGTATAATAAAAAAATTAAAAAATAAAAATAAAAAAAGAAAATACACAGAGGAGATATTAGGTTGGTGCAAAAGTAATTGTGGCATTCTTATAGAATATACAAAATAGCCTCAAAAGGACAAATCTAAGAGTTATTGGCCTTAAACAGGGGGTAGAGAAACAGATAGGGGAAGAAAGTTTATTCAAAGGGATAAGAACAGAGAACTTCCCAAAACTAGAGAAAGCTATCAGCATTCAAGTACAAGAAGATTATAGAACACCAAGCAGATTTAATCCAAAAATGACTACCTTAAGTCATTTAATAATGAAACTACCAAAGGTCAAGGATAAAGAAAGGATTCAAAAAGCATCAACAGAAAAAAAAAATAACTTACAATGGAGTTCTAACATGTCTGGCAGTAGACTTTTCAGTGGAAAAGGCTAGGAGAGAGCAGCATGACATATTTGAAGTGCTGAAGTAAAAAAAAAAAAAAGGTTACCTTGCAATAGCATATCTGGTGAAAACATCTTCAAACACGAAGAAGAAATAAAGACTTTCCCAGCAAACAATAGCTGAGGGATTTCATCAACAGCAGACCTGCACTACAAGAAATGCTAATGGGAGTACTTCAAGCAGAAATAAAAGGACGTACATGAGCACTAAATAATCACCTGAAGGTACTAAACTCACTGGTAGTAACTACACAGAAAAACACAGAATATTATAACACTGTAATCATGGTATGTAACTACTCATACCTTAGTAGAAAAACAAAATGATGAACCAATTAAAAATAATAACTGCAACAACTTTTCAAGACATAGACAATAAAGTATAAATAAAAACAACAAAAAAATTAAAAAGCAGGGGAGATGAAGCTAAACTGTTTATTGGTTTTCTTTTTGTTTATTTGTTTATGAAAACAGTATTAAGTTGTTATGAGCTTAAAATAATGGGTAATTACAAGCCTCATGGCAACCTCAAACCAAAAAACATATTATAGATATACAAAAAAAAGCAAGAGAATAAATTATATCACCAGAGATAATCACCTTCATTATAAGGAAGACAGGAAGACAGAAAAGAAGGAAGAGAGGACCACAAAACAACCAGAAAACAAATAACATAATGGCAAGAGCAAGGCCTTACCTATCAATAATAACATTGAATGTAGTGGACTAAACTCTCCAATCAAAAGGCGTAGGCTGACCAAATGTATGAAAGAACAAGACCCATTGGTCTGTTTCTGCCAAGAAACACACCTTACCTATAAAAACACACATAGACTGAAAACAAAGGGATGGAAAAAGTATTCCATGACAATGGAAACCCAAAAAACACCAGGAGTCACTATATTTATATCAGACAAAATAGATTTCAAAACAAAAACTGTAGGAGACAAAGTGTCACTATATAGTGATAAAGAGGTCAATTCAGAAAGTGGATTATAGCAATATTAAATATACATGCATCCAACACTGGAGCACCCAGATATATAAAGGAAATATTATTAGAGCTAAAAAGAGAAATAGACTCAATACAATAATAGCTGGAGACTTCAATACCCCAATATGCCTGATGAATATTGATGCAAAAATCCTGAACAAAATACTAGCAAATCAAATTCAACAACACATTTTTTAAAAATCATTCATCATGACTAAGTAGGATTTGTCACAGGGATGCAAGGATGGTTCAACATACGCAAATCAATCCAATGTGGTACATCATATTAACAAAATGAAGGACAAAAACCATATAATAATTTCAACTGATGCTGAAAAAGCATTTTATAAAATTCAACATCCCTTCATCATAAAAACATTTAAAAAAACTATAGAAGGAGCATACCTCAACATAATAAAATCCATATATGACAGACCCACAACAAGTGTCATACTGAATGGGTAAAAACTGAAAGCCTTTCCTTTAAGACCTAGAACATCACAAAGATGGCCACTTTCACCACTGTTATTCAACATAGTACTGGAAGTTGTAGCTAGAGCAAACAAGAGAAAAATATAAAGGGCATCCAAATCAGAAAGAAAGAAGTCAAATTATCATTATTTGCAGATAATATAATCTTATATTTGGAAAAATCAAATGACTCCACCAAAAAAACTATTAGAGCTGATAAACAATTTCAGTTAAGTTGCACAATACAAGATCAACATTTTAAAAATCAGTAGCATTTCTATATGCCAACAGTGAATAATATAAAAAAGAAATAAAGAACAGAATCCAATTCACAACAGTCACAAATAAAATTAAATAACTAGGAACTAACCAAAGAAGTGACAGATATCTACAAAGAAAACTGTTAAACACTGATGAAATAAATTGAAAAGGACACAAAAAATGGGAAGATATTCCATGCTTGTGGATTAGAAGAATCAATACTGTTAAACGGTCCATACTACTCAAAGCAGTTTACAGATCCAGTGCAATCTCTATCAAAATACCAATGACATTCTTCACAGAAATAGAAAACACAATCCTAAAACTTATATGGAACCAGAAAAGAGCCCAAGTAGCCAAAACTCTCATAGGCAGAAAGGACAAAACTGGAGGAATCACATTACCTGACTTCAAATTATGCTACACGGCTATAGTGAACAAAACAGCATGATACTGGCATAAAAATGGATGCATACACCAATGGAACAGAAAAGAGAACCCATAAACAAATCCACACACCTATAGTAAACTCATTTTTGACAAAGGTGCAAAGAACATACACTGAGGAAGAGAGAACGTACACTGGGGAAAAGACAGTCTCTTCAATAAATCATGCTGGGAAAACTGGATTTCCACATGCAGAAGAATGAAACTGACCCCTGTTTCTCTATATATACAAAAATAAAATCAAAACGGATCAAAGACCTAACTCTAAGACCTCAAATTATTAAACCACTACAAGAAAACATTAGACAAAGTCCCCAGAACATTGGTCTGGACAAAAATTTCTTGAGCAATACCCCACAAGCACAGGCAACCAAAGCAAAAATGGGCAAATGGGATCACCTCAAGTTAAAAAGCTTCTGCACAGCAGATGATACAATAAACAAAGTGAAGAGACAACACACAGAATGGGAGAAAATATTTGCAAACTACCCCTCTGACAAGGGATTAATAACCAGAATACATAAGGAGCTCAAACAACTCTTTAGGAAAATATCCAGTTTTTAAAATGGGCAAAAGATTTGAATAGACATTTCTCAAATGAAGACATACAAATGGCAAACAGACATATGAAAATGTATTCAACATCATTTGTCATCAGAGAAATGCAAATCAAAACTACAATGATATATCATTTCACCCCAGTTAAAATGGCTTTTATCTAAAAGATGCAATAACAAATGCTGGCGAGGATGTGGAGAAAAGGGAAACCTCGTACACAGTTGGTGGGAATGTAAGTGAGTACAAGCACTATGGAGAACAGTGTGGAGGTTCCTCAAGAATAGAATTACCATATGATCCAGCAGTCTCACTGCTGGGTATATACCCCAAAGAAAGAAAATCAGTATATCAAAGATATCTGTACTCCCATGTTTGTTGCAGTAATGTTCACAATAGCCAAGATTTGGAAGCAACCTAACTGTCCATCAACAGATGAATGGATAAAGAAAATGTACATAGACACAATGTAGTACTATTTGGCCGTAAGAAAGAATGAGGCCCTGTCATTTGCAACAATGTTAATGGAACTGCAGAGCATCATGTTAAGTGAAATAATCCAGGTACAGAAAGACAAATATCACATGTTCTCACTTATTTGTGTGATATAAACATCAAAACAATTGAACTAATTGAGATAGAGAGTAGAAGGATGGTTATTAGAGGTTGAGAAAGGCAGTAGAGGGTTGGAGGGGAAGTGAAGATGGTTAATTGGTACAAAAAAATAGAATTAATGAATAAAACCTAGCATTTGCTAGCACAACAGGGCGACTACAATCGATAATATTTTAATCATACATTTTAAAATAACTAAAAGAGTATAATTGGGTTGTTTGTAATACAGAGGACAAGTGTTTGAGCGGATGGATACCCCATTCTCTATCATGTAATTATTACACATTGCATGCCTGTATCAAAACATCTCCTATACCCCATAAATATATACACCTACTGTGTACCCATAAAAATTTAAAAAATTTTAAAAGGAAATAAAACTTTTGCTTTTATTTTGTTTTTCCATCAATATTGTTAAAAAATCTCTAGTATTGATAATTTATTTTTATTTTATTATTTTCTACATAAACGGTCATCTTGTATGATACTTTATTTCTTTTTTTCTATTGTTATGCCTTCTATTTCCTTTTCTTGTTATAGTGCCCTGGCTAGTGTCATCCATACCACGAAGAATAGAAATGCTAACAATGGCATCTCTTTCTCATTCTCAGACATGAAGGAAAAGCTTTCAAAACATGAGTAGTTTTTCCCAGATGAAGTAATTACACTATTTCAATTTTGCTAAGGCTTTTTAAACACAAATTGATGATAAAAATTATCAAAGTCTTTTTTGAATCAGTGGCTGTCATGTTTTTTTTCAAGAAAAAATAATATTTTTATTCTATTCTTTTTTATACTTTAAGTTCTGGGGTACATGTGCAGAACATGCAGTTTTGTTACATAGGTACACATGTGCCATAGTGGTTTGCTGCACCCATCAACCTGTCATCTACATTAGGTGTTTCTCCTGATGCTATCCCTTCCCTGGTCCCCCATCCCCTGACAGGCCCTGGTGTGTGATGTTCTCTTCCCTGTGTCCATGTGTTCTCATTGTTCAACTCCCACTTATGAGTGAGAACATGTGGTGTTTGGTTTTCTGTTCTTGTGTTAGTTTGCTGAGAATGATGGTTTCCAGCCTCATCCATGTCTCTGCAAAGGACATGAACTCATCCTTTTTTATGGCTGCATAGTATTCCATGGTGTATATGTGCCACATTTTCTTAATCCAGTCTATCATTGATGGACATTTGGGTTGGTTCCGTGTCTTTGCTATTGTGAATAGTGCCGCAATAAACATACATGTGCATGTGTCTTTATAGCAGCACGATTTATAGTCCTTTGGGTATATACTCAGTAATGGGATTGCTGGGTCAAATGGTATTTCTACTTCTAGATCCTTGAGGAATCACCACACTGTCTTCCACAATAGTTGAACTAATTTATACTCCCACCAGCAGTGTAAAAGTGTTCCTATTTCTCCACATCCTCTCCAGCATCTGTTGTTTCCTGACTTTTTTTTTTTTTTTTTTTTTTGAGATGGAGTTTTGCTCTGTCCACCAGGCTGCAGTGCAGTGGTGCGATCTCGGCTCACTGCAAGCTCTGCCTCCCAGGTTCACGGCATTCTCCTCCCTCAGCCTCCCGAGTAGCTGGGACTACAGGTGCCCGCAACCACGCCCGGCTAATTTCTTATATTTTTAGTAGAGACGGGGTTTCACCATGTTAGCCAGGATGGTCTCAATCTCCTGACCTCGTGATCTGCCCACCTCAGCCTACCAAAGTGCTGGGATTACAGGTGTGAGCCACTGCACCCAGCCTTCCTGACTTTTTAATGATCACCATTCTAACTGGCATGAGATGGTATCTCATTGTGGTTTGATTTGCATTTCTCTAACGACCAGTGATGATGAGTTTTTTTTCCTACTTTTGTTGGCTGCATAAATATCTTCTTTTGAGAAGTGTCTGTTCATATCCTTCACCCACTTTTTGATGGGGTTGTTTCTTGTAAATTTGTTTAAGTTCTTTGTAAATTCTGGATATTAGTCCTTTGTCAGATGGATAGATTGCAAAAGTTTTCTCCCATTCTGTAGGTTGCCTCTTCACTCTGATGATAGTTTCTTTTGCTATGCAGAAACTCTTTAGTTTAATTAGATCCCATTTGTCATATTTGGCTTTTGTTGCTGTTGCTTTTGGTGTTTTAGCAATCAAGTCTTTGCCCATGCCTATGTCCTGAATGGTATTGCCTAGGTTGTCTTCTAAACAAATTTCTCTCAGAGCCCCATACTTGACACACAGAGGAAGGGGCCTATTTCCCAAATAACATTATTCATGGCTCTTAAGTCCTGCCTATGATTCAGTATGGAATTCTAAACAGTGCATTTGTTCAGAATTCTATGTAAATAGTGTATTGCATTTAAGACCCCCAGTGCCATGTCCTTTGACTTCTTTAAGGATAAATTTTACCATGAGTGAACTTCCTATTTCTCCTAAATTCAGACAAAACTTAAATGTCAGGTGTGTTACATATAACACTAAAATGTTTATGACAAAAATGATTAATTGTAAATTCTATCCATACAGGGGGCCAGTATATTCTATTTTATACTTTATATTTCCTTGAGTGCAGTGATTCTTATTGCTGTAAAAACCTTGCAGGGACCCTGGAACTAAACACTATACTAAACACTATGTAGACTATATTGATTCCAGTTAAGGTCATGAGGCTTCTAAGTAGGCTGGCTCCTCTGCCTGTGCTGCTGCTTGGGATTTCTATGTGAAGACCAATGAGGATTATGCTCACCAAATAGAAATGCCTGGTGTAACTCTACTGGCGTGGTGAATTTTTCAAGTATGATGTTCTAAATAATTGCATACATTTAGTCATTATTTTTGGTTTTCTGTGATTGTACACATTTCAAATAGTCTTTTTATTTTGAAACAAAGCAATATTATAGTCTGTAATTATTCATTTCCATATGTTAACTCTTAGTTTTGTTTCTGTTGCCTGTCGCTTCCACTGGCTTTCATGCTTGGTACCTTGTTTCCTTTTGTGTTGGTCATTATTTTTCACTGTGTGTTGGTTACTGATTTTGAATAATTACCAGTAGGACTCATTGAGGTATGGGTTTGTTGTTTGCTTATTCCGTTCACCCTGACTCAGACCACCTGTCCCTGACCATGTTATATTCAAATTCAAGCACTGAGCTTCTCAAGCTCTCCAGGGCTGCTAACCTGTGCCAGTCTTGGTTACTTCAGGTTTTCCCTTATCCTGAGGATATATGTGAGGTGTATAAATCAGACTTCTCACCTGGATATGCCATAGGCTTTGATTTGTGGCCCTCTCATCCCAAAAGAACACTAAAGCTACAGCTCAGGATAATAACAATCTTCTGACTTGTCAAATTCTCTCTCGGCAAAAGCATTTTTGAGTATTGGGCCTACTTCTCTAGGTTATCACACTTTCTGATAAGACAATCCCTTATTATCCTATAAGTTCTAACGTGAAATTTAAGATATATGTAACATTTTATCATGTTTTAATTGTACTCACCATGGCACTGATTAAAATGACCAATTCTGCCGCTGTTGGAACAGAAACCTCAAAAGTAAATTACATGCGTGTGAGTGAAGATTAGACTCCTGGAGCTGTTACACAGGTAACACCATATTCAACATGAACTGTCCTCACCTTTGGCAGCAGTTGTTCAGATGTTATGTTCCCAGTGAGACCTGCAGTGACTCCTCCCTGCCCCTGGCACATCAACCTTCCACGTACTCTTCCACTTTTTCTTTCTCCATAGCACTCATTCCCTTCTAATAGTAGGTATCACTTACTTGTTAGTTTTATTGTCTGACTCCTATGTTAGAAGACAAATTCCATCACGACAGACATCTGTGGCTATTAGTCACTTATATCCTCGTCTAGGGCAGTGCCTACAAGGATCACCAAATAGGCCGGCGGCAGTGGCTCATGCCTGTAATCCCAGCACTTTGGGAGGGTGAGGTGGGCGGATCATGAGGTCAGGAGATCGAGACCATCCTGGCTAACAAGATGATACCCCATCTCTACTAAAAATACAAAAAATTAGCCGGATGTGGTGGCGGGTTGGCCTGTAGTCCCAGCTACTCTGGAGGCTGAGGCAGGAGAATGGCATGAACCCAGGAGGCAGAGCTTGCAGTGAGCCGAGATCACGCCACTGCACTCCAGCCTGGGTGACAGAACGTGACTCCATCTCAAAAAATATATATAAAATAAAATAAGAATCACCAAATATAGCTTTATTTATTTATTATTATTATTTTTCTTGAGAAGGAGTTTTGCTTTTGTTGCCCAGGCTGCAGTGCAATGGCGCCATCTCGGCTCACTGCAACCTCTGCCTCCTGGGTTCAAGCGATTCTTGTGCCTCAGCCTCCTGAGTAGCTGGGATTACAGGCGCCCATCACCATGCCCGGCTAATTTTTTTTGTATTATTTGTAGAGACAGGGTTTCTCCATGTTGGTCAGGCTGGTCTTGAACTCCTAACCTCAAGTGATCCCACTGCCTTGGCCTCCCAAAGTTCTGGGATTACAGGCATGAGCCACCGTGCCCGGCCTCAAATATAGTTTTTGAATGTACAAAATAAAAAATAAATGAATGAAGTGATTGATACCCTATGATTCTATTGACAGAATGTTGGGATTGTTGTCTGAAACACTAAAGAGGGGACAGGAAAGAGAAATAAATCTGGTAGTGGTCAGCATGCAGAGGTTGATTAAGCCTCTCCAGGGGCAGACATACTTTCAGAGGAGAGGCAGTCTAGTCCCCTTGAGTTTCCTAAGTAAGATGAGGCTCTGACCATGAATGAGTCACTCCAAAAGGTTGTTCCTCACAGCCACAATGTCACACTATAAGCTGGATTCTCCTCTTGGAAGTTATTGCCTGATTTTTTTTTCCACTCAGTCTCTAAGGAGTTCAGAAACCCTGCTCATTCCCACAGAAGTCACCGGTTTTGACCTGACAGAGAAATTCATAGGTTAGTCAGGGGCCTCTAACAGGTTCTTCTCTGGGACCCTATAACCATGCTGGAGACAGAGAATAGAAACGCAGCCCAGATTGTTGTGGGTCTCCCAAGCTCATTGTCAGCAGGCAACCTTTCTGGAAGAAGAATATCTCCAGCAATTTTACTATGGTTCCTTTGTCATTTTCTCTCACAATGTACTCAGTAACAACTATAGATATCAGGCATGTATCTCAGGATAAGCTGATGTTGACAATGGCCACAGTCTGAAGGTTTAAAGGTATGCCTTAACTTATGGCAGAAAACAACTCTTGAAAAAATAAGAATAAAATTTTTAAAGGATTTTCAGCAGATAAAGCATTTTTTTCATGTGAAACTATTTGCATTCTCAATTATAAATTTAATTAAATTTTATTAAAGGTAAAGCAAGATGGACTTCTAATTTCCTATTCTATCTGAAAATCTTCCCTCCTGATTGACTAAAAAGCTCCACACTGGGTAATGGTCTATGGACAGATAAATTTTGACCACAAACACTCGGTGTCTTATTATTATTATATATAGAATATTAATATATCAGATTCTTCAAACTAACTAGTTTCATCAAGAAAATATTTTTATTCTAAGCTCTCTCTTCAGAGCCCCCTTAATCTCCTTGTTCCTGAGGCTGTAGATCAGGGGGTTCAACATGGGAATCACCACGGTGTAGAACACAGACACCACCTTGTTCTGGTCAGTTGAGTAGCTGGACTTGGGCATCACATAAATGAAGGTAATGGTCCCATAGAACAGAGTGACTGCAGTGAGGTGGGAGGTGCAGGTGGAGAAGGCCTTGTGGCGGCCCTTGGTGGAGTGCATCTTCAGGATGGTGATGAGGATATAGATGTAGGATATGGCTATGACACACACAGTGGCCACAATGATAGATCCAGAAGAGATAGCTGGAATTATTTCAAAAGTAAAATCATGGGAACAAGCAAGCTTCAAAAGTGGTGAATAGTCACAGAAAAAGTGATTGACTTTATTTGGCCCACAGAAGGACAGTCTTAATAAGCAGCCAATGAATGTCCAAGCATTCACACATCCACCCAGGTAGGACATGCCCACTAAGATGATGCAGACTCCAGGGGACATGCAGGTAGAGTAGAGCAGGGGTGAGCAGATGGCCACATAGCGATCATAGGCCATGGCAGCCAGCAGGAAGCACTCGGCCGTACCAAACGTCACTACAGAACAGAGCTGGGCCACACAACCAGCAACAGGGAGAGAGGTTTCTTTCCTTAGGAAGCTCATGAGCATGACAGGTGTGACTGATGAGGAGTACCCAATGTCTACAAAGGCCAAATGGCAGAGGAAAATGTACATGGGTGTATGAAGATGATGACTTCTTCTGATCAATACAATTATGCTGATATTACCCATTAAGGTGACAACATAAATTCCTAGAAACACAAGAAATAAAATAGCACAAACTGTAGTATCCTCAGATAACCCCAAAAGAGTAAACTCTACCACAGTGGTGTCATTTCCAGTCCCCATCTATATTGGGAATGGTGCCAACTGAAAGAAAAACAAATGAATATTATAATGGGATTAAATGCTATAATTGCACACTTATTTTTCCAATATCTATTTAACCAAAAAGTATAACAATTTAGGCACTCATGTAAATTTGGGAAGAAAATGCTTTCACACACAGTATCTTATGTAAGACTTTAAAACATAAATGTTCACTGATGTAAGGTCAGGAATACTCAGAAAAATCTTTTTTTTTTTTTAACTTAACACACTCAACTCGTATTGGATGGTTAATTTAGGTGCTCTCTGAGCACATTTCAGAGATGACCACTAGAATATATAAAGAATCCAGTAACTCAATCTTCTAAGGCCAAAGACGTGATTGAAGGGAGACATAAATGTCAGAATAGACCAAGACTCATGGAAAAGAACAGCTGTTCAAAAGGATGTTTGAGGTATCATCTATTGTATCAAAGATGTGTAGTCATTAAGAATTCCGAATTCCAAACAGAGGTCAAACAGATTAGCTGCATGCTAATCCACAGGACCAAGAAGAGGTCAGTAACTCAACACTGAGCTGTGGTCCCCACCCAGAGATTTCACAATTGAGGAAAAGTACACCAAATATCCAGGAAGTCTGGACCGAGGCAGAAGGTGAAGTAATGCACTCACACTATAAACAAGTAAACAGAGGAAGACTGAGGTTTGAAAGAGGAGATGAGATATCTCCTAATTATCTCAGGATCAAGCTATCTGATTCATGATAGTGAGCCAATCTAGAGAAGACATGATCAGGTTACTCCTGGAAGGCTCCAAAGATACAACTTATACCCAAGACTCTGCATAAGCTGGGGCTAGGTTGCTAACAGAAGATTCCAGCCTTCTACAGAACACAAATATCCAGCCCTATCTGAATAGTTGCTGTCTGAAAAAAATTGCATCTGTAGGTCACCTTCTGGAAGGCCCTCCTCCATACCAACTCGCTTGAGAAAAATCAAGAAAATGCAAGAAAAGCAGGAGAGCTTTCTCACAGCTTCAAAAGGTCCTAGAAATAATCCACTCGATTCTCTCACTTTATAAAATTATAAACGGAGATCTAAAAAAGATAGATAATACACACCATTGTCCAACATAACTTTAGATCAAATGGCTTTCTGGAAACTGAGCTAAAATGAAGAACCATATTCTTGGACTTCTAATTCATTTACTATCTTTATTTCACATATTATACATCTTTTCTATGATTTCTAAAGAAGACTATAGACTATCAGAAAGTATATTTGGTTCATTACATATTTAAAAAGGTTTTAAAATTATGCTAACATATAAATAATACATTTACTCTTGAAAGGGGAATTTTGCAGTGCAGTAATTCACATAAAGATGCGGCTGAGAGATAACGACAATTCTTTGAGGCAGGTGATAGTCTCCTTCAGTGCCCAGCACCTAGGGAATTGATATGCTTTTGTTTTCAGCTGAACAGTTGTGAGTGCCTGATAGATGAGGGGTCAAATTTCACTAAGATTTTCTTTTTTCTGAGCAACGAAAGGGACAGATATGGAATGTTAGGGTATATGCAAGGTAGAGAGTAAAATAACCACTACATTTAAGCTAGGCAAAGATGAAGTGAGTACCTGAGATGGGTAAAATCAACAAAATGGTTCTAGCCTTTCTGCAAGGATTGAAAATTTGCTATAATTATTCTACCAGTGAAAACAAGCAGGAAAAACAAGAAATGATGGTAGTTACAGTTTGGGGTGCTTAAAAATGAGATTACGGAAAAGCTACAGTTATTGGCAAATGCTAATGTCTAAACTCTAACAACGGGAGAGACAGGTTTTAGGGAGGAAAACAAATTTTTTTTGAAGATATGTCAAGAAACTAAGAAGCCAAAATGTTGAAAGCAACCTCTATGTGGAGGTATTAAAGCCACCAGGAATAGTGACAGAAATAATGTAAGAAAATGAGTGAGCCAGAGCCAAAAATCTTCCAAAGATGCGGAGACATGATGCTAGCCAGTTGATGACTGCAAATGCATAAGGAGAGAAAGGTAAGATTGGTTAGTATAGTCTGATGACATAAAACTCAACTATGGGTATTTGTAGGTAGGAAGGAGAGAGAATGTCCACAAGCAGCAACAAGGGAAATGGAAGATCCTATCCATCACCAGGTTCGGGGTAAAAGTGGTAAGAGAAAAAAAAGTTCATCATTTGAGAAGGCTGCAGAGAAAACATTGTCCTCAGGGACAGCCAAGTGTCTGTTGAAAAGGACAGTAAGGGAAATGGAATGTTCAAAACCAATACTGAGGACATAAGAAATTTTGTTGATAACTGTGACTGCAGAAGGGCACAGGAAAAAGGCTTCAAGAGTTAAAAAGAGATGGATATGGGACCTCTTGATTCAAGAGAAGGCTTGGATACTTGAAAATAACCTTTCTTAGCTCCAGCTGAATAGAGATGGCATTCTGAGAGAGAGAGTACAGAAGATAATACACACAATTGTCTAACATACATTAGTTGCTACAATTTAATTGCTGAATAGCAGAAGGGAGGGTGAAAGCTAATCCCAAAGTTGTGAAGATTGTGAGGAAGGGGTAATAGGTAAACAACTCAGCTGACCTGGAGTGACTTAACAGTTTTGAGGCAATCCCAGTATCTCACCCAAGGAAAAGTCATCCCTATTGAAGAATTTAAAACCAATGAGAAACACTAGTAGGTAAAATCAAAGGGTCAAAAATCCTGGAGTTAAAAAAACAAAAAAACTGGATTCTGGTGATAGTCATTTCTGAGATTACTGCAGTGGTGACTTCACGTAGATCCAAAACTGCCATTGCTAGTCATGGTTACTTTTATGGAGTATGCATCTGGAATATTACATATGGTCTGTCAAGACTTTCATCTCTACCTATGCTGTTATTTCATATAGGGTTTCAAAAAATTGGCTAGAAATAGAGAACATCTTACTAGGACAGGGAAGAATGAAGATGAACAGATATTATACAAAATGTTTAAACTGAACGTGGAGATATAAGAAAGAAAATTTCCAAAATGAGAAGTTGATTTTTATGAAGGAGAGAAAAATTACCATAAAAATAAAATGTATGCTTCATCATAAATATGAAAAAATATTTGAAAATATATATTTGTGTCTGTATTTGTAGGGTCTCATGACTTTATGAAAAAGCAACCTTTTTGGGTAATAGAAGTTGGGATTACAGCATAGAAAGACCAATATGCACCAAAGGGCATCAGCAAGATGGGGAAGAATGTTGCAGTGGCTGCTACAAAAATAGGGTTGCTGATACAGAAATTCCATGTTGATTGGTTGGGAATATGAGTAAAGAGAAACAGAAGATACAGAGTTTTAAAGTGAATGAAGGAACATAAGCAATTTATCTTGGGCAAGAAATGGCTCCTGAAGGAAATTAACTTTTATCTTATTTTTTTTTTTACTACTCCAGTGCTTTTTAGAAGTCTGAGGATACACAAAATAACTGCTCAATACATGGGAGAATCATCAAGCAGTCACAATTGTGCCCAGTTGGAATGGGCTGCAAATTGGTGACAGCACTATGAAAGAGATTCAGGAATTACAGGTCTACCTGAGCTAATGTGATGCTGTGACATTTTAAAATGATATTCTAGGATTCAGCATAGTAAATTAATCCACTATAGTCTATACTCTACACATCCATATGAAGATAATGCGTGAACTTTCTCAATAGATTGCTTTCACTCTGGAGTCTGCAAACACTTTGCTCTTTGCTTCTATGTATCTTAAGTATCCAATTGATGCCTCTATTAGAATTAAGAAAAAAGAGAAGCAAAAGTGTTTTTTTAAAAAAGTAGAGAGGAATGAATGAAAGGCAGAGGAATATGAAAGGCAGACCATACAGAGGGAGCCAAAAGAGGTGCTATAGCTGATAAGATAAAAGAGGGAATTTTTATTTCACATGTCAACAATTTAATTCCATTTTTATCAATGATATCTTCTTCTATGGAAGAAAATTAAGATAATTCAATGTTTTCCTACATCATTTAATATAAGGTTTATTTACTCTTGGAAACTTCCATTCTTTATTGCTCCTCAACAATAGCAACCACAAAAATTCCCATAATTCTCTCTTTAAAGATCAACCAAAATTAAGGAATAATGTATTTTTCTTTAAAGAATTTGCTCTCAAGCAGACTGAACGCTCTTGCACACATGCACTGCTGTCTCTTTCTCTCTCTCACACACACACCACATGCATACACACACACACACTGGCATCAAAGTCATGTGCTCATCCAGCCACATTATTTTCACACTTTTATTCTGAACTGAGATGCTTGAATAATTTCACGTCTGAATTAACTGATCAATATCATGCTATGTTAAGAACACCATGCAATTACATGTTTGAACTCTGAAGTCCTATCTTCCTTATCTTTGTACAGGGCTTTATTAAGTGGCATGGACCCAAGAATGAATGAATGCTTAAAATTTTAGAAAAGATAGATGTGTATAATAGAAATTCAGAGTCAGTTATACATGCTATTATGGCATGGAAGCAATGTGTTGGACAGAAATGCCATGAGCTTTGGAGACATACGGCCCTGGGATTAGATTCAGCTTTGTCACCAGCAATCTATGGAATCTTGGAAATTTTACATAAACTGTTCAACTCTTCATTACGTTATTTGTTTAAAAAAATACTTCACATGATTCTTGTGTTGAATAAGATGATGTACATGATAATACCAAGTATGGATCATAGAAATAAGTGAATGTTCAACAAATGATTATTTCCTTTAAAAAACTATACCTTAACTTCTAATACAAAAATGAGAAACAAACATTCCTGTATCAATAGAAAAGGGAAATTATTACCTGCAGATGAATGTACATCAGCAATAATAACAAATTGCAAAGAACTGTCACTGTATAGGAAGGTGATATTTATGAGATTTGGGGTCCTTTGGGATATAGCCTCTTGAGTACACTACTTGTTTATAAAAATTTCACTGAAAATTCATCAAGACAATGGAAATTACAGGTACATATGCTCATAAAAATATGTGTTGCTGCTGGGCATGGTGGCTCACACTTGTAATCCCAGCACTTTGGAAGGCCAAGGTGGGAGAATTGTTTGAGGCCAAGAGTTCAGACAAGTTTGGGCAACATAACAAGACCCCATCTCTACAAAAAAAAAATATAAATAAATAAAAGTAAAATTAGCCAGGTGTCATGGCTCATGCCTGTAGTCTCAACTACTCAGGAGGCAGAAATGGGAAGATTGATTGAAGTCAGGAGTTTGAGGCTGCAGTGAGCTAGAATTGCACCACTGTACTCCAGCCTGGGCAACTAAGCAAGACCTCAACTGAAAAAAAAAAGTCTAAAAACATCTGTAAATTTATTTATTTTTAGTATGCATTAGAATTTTTAAATAAAACTTTTTGATGAACTGCTAAATCCCCTGTAACTATATTGAGATTTATAGGAATAAGCAAGAGTACAGTGTACCAGAGTAATTTCTCTTCAAAATAAAAATTCTTCTGGGAAAAAATAAATGTTTATGTTTTCTGTATGTTTCTAGATGATACTACCTTTATTTTTTAATTAAACTTTTTACTTTGAGATTATTGTAGATTTACATGCAGTTTTAAGAAATGAAATTAATACAGAGAGATCTTATATGCCCTCTACCCAATTTCTTCCAATGAACGCATTTTGAAAAACTGTAGTGTAATATCACAACGAGGATACTGGCAGTGATACAGTCAAGATACAGAACATTTCCATGAGCACAATAACCCCTCACATTACTCTTTCATAGCCACAACAACTTCTGTCCCATCCCCATCCCTTCCTTAACTTCAGGAATCCTCTAATATGTTCTCTGTTTCTACATTTTTATAATTTCAAGTATTTTATTATTATGTAACATCCCTTTCTGCCTCTAGTAATTTTCTTTGCTCTGAAGTCTACGTTATTCAATATTAATATAGCTACTGCTTTTCTTTTGATTAATATTTACATGCTATGTCTTTTTCATTATTTTACTTTCTTTTTTGGATTTTGTTTTGGTTTTTTTGAGATGGAGTCTTGCTCTGTCACCCAGGCTGGAGTGCAGTGGCACAATCTCGGCTCACTGCAAACTCCACCTCTCGAGTTCAAGAGATTCTTTTGCCTCAGCCTCCCGAGTAGCTGGGATTACAGGCGCCTGCCACCACGCCCAGCTAATTTTTGTATTTTTAGTAGAGATGGGGTATCACCACATTGGCCAGGCTGGTCTCAAACTCCTGGCCTCGTGATCCAACCACCACAGCCTCCCAAAGTGCTGGGATTACAAGTGTGAGCCATCACACCTGACCCATTATTTTACTTTCAATTTGCCTCTATTATTATATTTGAAGTGACTTTCTTGTAGACAGCATAGAGCTGGGTCATGTGTTTTAGTTCACTTTGCTGGGTGAGGGCTCAAACAGAAACAAGGAACATGCTGTTTTGAAACTGGAGAAAAAGTTATCCTTGTTAGATAGTGACAGAAAGTCTAGCTTAATTTTGACCTACAGTTACATGGAAAGCAGAACTTGTAAGTGATGAACTTGGATGTTTAGATAAGCAGATTTACAAAGTTTTGAAGGTACAGCCTATTGTTGTTTACTCAATGTATTAAAATGTGAGAACAAATTACTTAAAGGTGAAGGACCCTCTTGTCTAATGATGTGAATAGTCATAACATACATGGGAGAACCAGGTTTTCAAAAATGATATAGTTTCAGAAACACCACCAGCTTGTGCTAAAGGGACAGAGACAGAACAAAATGAAAGAAGGCTGTAAGACTCATAAAATTCTACAAGCAGGAAAAGGCTGATAAAACTAATCAGCTACAAATATGTGCTACCTATCAAGAAAAAGAAAGGATAACTTCAAGAACAAACCCTTTGGCCCAAAAGCTGGAGCCTTGGGTCTAGGATTTAGAGCCATGGTGCAGAGGTTGGAGCAGTGCACACAGAAAATATTAGTCTCAGACCCAGAGCATGGAGCATTGAGTCACTAAGTGTTATTCATAGGCCTTGAAATGCCGTGTTTGCCCTGATGAACTTCAGAATTGCTTGGGTCTGATGACCTTTTCCCTCCTTCCACTTCCCCCCTTTTAGAATGTAAATGTCTATTACTGTTACATCATGATGCCTGTATCATCATTATATTTGGGGAACAGATATCTTGTCTTCTTGTTTCACAGGTCCACAGATGGAGAGAAATTTTGCCCCAGGATGGATCATACACAGTATCCTACCTATATCTGATTTAGGTAATTTAGATAATGAGATTTAGGACTTTCAAGCTGATGATATTTAGATGATATTTTGGGCTTTAGTTGATGCTGTGTTGGGTTGAGGCTTTTGAGGATTTGGAGGTGGGATGAACACATTTTACCGTGGAATGAACATAAATCACTGGGGGCCAGAGAGAAGACTGTAGCAGACTGAATAATGGCCCCCAAAGATATCAGGCCCCAATCCATGGAATCTATAAATGTTACCTTACTTTAAAAATGGCCTTTGCATATGTGATTAAGAATCTTAAAATGGAGTAATGGAGTGATTATCCTAGATTGTCTGGGTGGGCCCTAAAAGCAATCACAAGTATCATTATAAGAGAGAGACAGAGGGAGAATGTGACACAAACAGAGAAGGAGAAGGCAATGTGACCAAAGAGAAAGAGATTGGAGTGGTTTGGCCACAGCAAAGGAATGCCAGAAGCCAGCAGAAGCTGGAAGACACAGGAAATGGATTCCACCTTGGAGCCTCCAGAGGGAGTATGGCTCTGTTGCCACCTTGATTTTTGCCCAGTGATACTTATTTTAGACTTCTGGCCTCCAGAACTGTGAAATAATAAGTTTCTGTTATTTTAAGCTTCCAAATTCATAGTAATTTGTTACAATAGCCACAGGAAACTAATACACATGATAACAAATGATCACTCTCTCCAGAGGTCCCAGGGTATTTGTCAAATGAATTCATTTATTCATTCATTCCAAAATATGCACTGAATACTACTATATCCCAAGCTTCCTTGGGATGTAGTGATAAACAAATCAGAAAAAAAATCACTGAACTCATAGAACTTACATTCTAGTATTCTAGTGTTGGGAGATAACAATAAATCATATATATGAATGAAATAAGGAAGTAAACCATGTAAAGGTTTAGGGGGAAAGCTTTTCAAGGAGGTTTTACTCCCTTTAAATTTGAGTAATGCAAAATCCACGAGAAGAATAAGCCACTGAGGCTAGATCACAGTAAGCCAACATTCAAATGATTGTATGTATCTGGTACTAGCAAATTACAGGGGGAAAAGGTACTTTTATACATTATGAAAAATATATGAATTTTCTAAAAACTTTTGGAAAATATCGTGGCAAATTTTATTTAAAATTTCAAGTGCTGTACTCCAAAATTTCACTTTGAGGAATTAATCCTAGAGGTAATAATAACCTGAAAAAATACATATACAAAAAGATGTTCATCACATGATTGCTTAAACAGCAGAAAAATTGCAGTGTCTAGTGTGCATCAACAAAAGAATTGTTGAAAAAATGATGGCACCTTCATCCTATGGATTACTATGTGGACATTAAAAAGATAAAATGTCCCCATATGTTCAGCTTCTGAAACAAGCCCATGATATACTCTTACATTTCCAAAGTCTCTAATATGTTTTTATAACTTATTCTTAACGTTTCATAATCATATTTTCTTATTTTTATATAGCACTTTCTCCTGAATCATTAAAAAGATTATATTTATTTTAATGTGAATTTTATCATGATAGCTTTACAAACTCTCTTTACTTGGATTTATGTTCTGTTGCCTTTTTTCTTTTCTTTACTTCTGGTTTTTGTTTTTATTTTGCTGTTGTCTTTTGAATTTGTCTCTCTTATTTTGTGATTCTAGTAATCCTAAAAGATTTGGGGGGCGGGTTACTATAAGTGCATTTTTATAATGGGGATTTTCTGCTGAACTGCCCACTGATTCTTACATGGGAAAGGTGCAAAGACAGTGGTACTGCTCCCTGTTTCGTTAGGCAGGGAAATAGGTAAGATGAACAGCTAGGAAAGGTACCTCAGCCACCTGTCTTCTGGGTTTTACTACCATACCTCGACTCTGCCCAAAGCACTGTTTCTGCTTAGAGACAGACACCTCGATCACTGCTGCCTCTTCCTTTGGAAGAGGTATTGGAATAGAAACAGGAATAAACTAGCCTGGCTTCTCTCCCTACTTATATCCTTGTGCATAGTCTGGAGCTCCTCTGTGTTTTACTCCTTTTTGAAAGGAATATTCCTGGTGTTTTAGTAAACCCTCCATGTGATTCTGATCCACACCAAAGTTTAAGAATCACGACCTCAGTGTTCTCAATCTTGGCTGAATATCAGAACAACATGGAAAAATTAAAAGAATACTGCCTGAACCCTTTCCCAAAGATTCTGTTTTAATTGGTATAGGGTATGGCCCGTGCACTGGGATTTATAAAGACTCCTCAGGTGATTTTGATATCCAGGTAACTTTGTGATCCACTGCTCTTATCGTTTCCAAATGCATGGATGAAATATCACTGTATGCAGAGTCCCGTCTGTTCTGTCTAGATGTTTAGATGAGCCGGTTAGTAGAAATTCATTCTGGAGTCAAGATCATTGACCAACCTTACTATTCACAGAGCTAATGAGATATGTGCATCCATTTTCATGAGTATTTCAGAGGGAAGACTGGGAGGATCCTGAAACATGTATTGTCACTTTCTATTATTGTAACCCAAAGTCTTGAAGTAATACCTTACTTGGACCACAAAGTATTTTAATTATTCATTCATTCATTCATTTGGCAGATATTTATTGAACATTAACAGTGTTTCAAACTCTCTTCTAGGCACTCAGGATAAAATAATGAACTAGGCAGACAAGGTTCCTGCCCTCATGGAGCTTATATTTTAGTAGGTAAGGCAGATAGTAAACTATAAACAAATGCATGATAACATAATGACCAATTATAAGTGCTACAGAAGAAATAAACAGGAATTTTTTTATAAGTTAACTTTCTGTAATGGCATTCTAAATTCACTCAGAAGCCCAAGCCTTCCCATGACAGATCATATATATCTAAATCTATATCTATATACATATAATATGTGTATGTGTGTTTGCTTAAAGTATATCAAAAAGACTCTCTGGTCCTCAAAGTAAAATGAACACAGAGAAGTTAAAAAAATCTACCTGAAATCACACAGAAAATGCTGAGACTGGGATTTGAATGTTAGCGCTGTAGTCTGGTTCTGAAGCCTGTATTTATAACTCCCTCACAACCTTTTTTTTTTTTTTTTTGAGACGGAGTCTTGCCCTGTCTCTCAGGCCGGAGTACAATGGCGCGATCTCTGCTCACTGCAACTTCCACCTCCCGGTTTCAAACGATTCTCCTGCCTCAGCCTCCCGAGTAACAAGGATTACAGGTGCCCATCACCACACCCAGCTAATTTTTGTGTTTTTAGTAGAGACAGGGTTTCACCATGTTGGCCAGGCTGGTCTCAAACTCCTGGCCTCATGATCCGCCCGCCTCGGCCTCCCAAAGTGCTGGGATTACAGGCGTGAGCCCCAGCACCCAGCCTCCCTCACCACTTCTTAGTCAACTGTACCTTGGGATAAAATATTAATATGAAATATCCTTTTTTGTCCCTTTTAACAGTTTTTACCTTGAAATCTATTTTGTACTCTCTTATGTTGTTATGCTTTCTTTATTCTGTTATAATTTTTCCTGGTAATATCTTTTGAGAGGAATTTATTTTCAATCTTCCTCTTCCAAGTTCAAACCAACCTACCGAATTGCCTTTTCCATTTTTCCATCATGGATGGGTCTTTTGCTCCATTTTTTTACCTCATAGGTAGTTGAGAAGATATAAACCCTCTTTCTATTATTCTAATATTATCTTAAGACAAAGGGTGATCAAGTTAACATAATTCTGAGAAAGATTTTATATATATATAAAATCTGTTTATATATATATAATCTGTTTATATATATAAAATCTGTTTGTTTATATATATATAAAATCTGTATATATATATATATATATATATATATATATATATATATATATATATATAATCTATTCCACAATCATTCTTTCTGATAAGGAATGGAAAAGAAGGTATTTGCCAGATCAATTGCCCCATACCACGTATTTGAGGCTGTAATAATCTCTAAGCAAAGATACCACACATGTAGCACAGCAGCTGCATTTGGGGTTAATGCTTTGTTGAATTTGTAGGATCTTTCCGGTTTTTGTAGGAACTACACTGGTGAATTAAACGAAACCTTTAAGAACCTAATGATACCACCACCCTAGTATCATTAGGTTCTTAAAGATGGCATTGATATCTGCCATTTCCCTTTGAGATTAGATTTTTATTTTTTAGTAATTTGGCCAGGAAATGGGCAGTTTCAGAGGCTTCCACTCAGGCTTCACTACTATGATGGCTCTTAAAGCTAATAAATCAATGTGGATATTCTGCCCATTACTACTATTCTACCATTTTGTTCATTCCATATACCTTTTGAGAACAAAGAAATAGCACTGGATGGGTCCATGCATTCATGGACATACATAGGCCCTGGATCCCATTTATTATCTGGCCCTCCTATACCCTAAAAGTGGCCACGATGAAGCTTTAGGTCATAGGTGTCAATGTCAATTCAAATTTCGCATGTTATAAGCCTTGATAAGTTTGGATATTTCTGTTTCCCCAGGATTTAGTTACTCCAGTAATGACCATAGTTCTCTTTGAGGAAAGGCTATATATATATAACTCCACTGGCCAAAGGCAAAAATATATATATAACTGCACTTTCAGGGTCCTTGATCATAGGTCCTGGCCTCTTCTTCAGTCAGAGGGCTCTGAGTCTGAAAACTGGTTCAGGTGTGGAAACTGGGCAAGAGATCACCTGTTTTTGTTTGAGCAGCTATAATCACCCCCCTCTAATCTCTATCCTTGATTTCTTTTAATTGTGTAGATTGAGCATGTTGTTGTTGTCTACCCATTTGTCTTATCTCAGAAACATCATTTACTTTTATTCTGATGCCATATCATCTCCATTTCTATCAAAGGTTCACTTCTGTAATGACATCATTACAATCAGCCCTATCCTACAGAGGATAGCCACCACTGAGCTTCTCAGTGACATTGGTGTCCTTCTCACCAGCATATTCCTTTTGTTTAGTAAACAGAATGTCCTCTGGGACCTTATATGGAGCCTAGTTATCTGGTGGACTTTTCATTTTCACGTATTTATTCTAGCAAGTGCTCTTCTCTAAGCTTTTCTATCCCTCCTTCTACTGTCTTCCACAGCAGTTCTGACATTTCTACTTAGTGTGCGTCACCAATTTCTGCAAGTTTCTAAAAGCCATCGTAGCAGCTTCTTTGCATCATATGCTGTGATCTTTACCAAGATATTAAATCCTATAGTAAGGGAGAGGGCTCCAACACTGATAAATTATCTCTTATCCAATTTGATGTCTGACCCTTTGATTCAGCATGTACTCTTTTCAGCTCCTGATTCTACATGTTGACTAGGTCCTACAGCTCCCATAGCAGACTCAGCCTTTTCCCTGTTAGGTTATGTTATGATTTACCCTTAGTTATAATCAAGTGGTTAAGAAAAGGTAGGGACAGAGTTTAAGGAGAACATATGTTGTTTTGCAAGATAGCATCCTCTGTTTTATCTTTATCTACGGGTGGAACACAAACATTTAACAGGGAAGAATCCAGAGGGTTTAGAAGAATCTAGTGATTCAAGATTTTTAAATGCATCAACACAGATACCCCTATTCCATGACTCAGTGTCTCATTCTTTCCTAATTAAGATCTTGAACTTAGTAGTCAAGCTGCAGTGGCTTAAAATTCTAACATAATGTCTACTTCTCTCATAATCAAGTCTTAAGCCTGATTCCTAGCCTTTTACGTTACAGGCTACAGGAGATGCTAGACTCCAAATGCTATAAGGAGGGACTGTGGCTCTCAAATTTAACTTTTAGTTGGTAATTAATCAACTTCAGCCTTTCAAAGTCTTTCTCAAAACCCTCTACTGTTTCTACAACAGACATCCAATTCCATTGCCCTTATAATTACTATTTCCCTTTTATGTCTCAAATACTTAATACATTTAATCTGCCAGTGCCTTCTTTTCTACTAGTATGTCATCCCTATTTACCACCGGATAAAGTGTTAATAATTATAGCACTAAGGGCTGCTCAAACTCCACTTACCACCAGTGATGGAGTCCTCATTTCCAGCCAGCTGGTGGGTGATCCAGCTCCAAACTCCAATTTTATATTATATTTTTTACTACCTGTTATGAGCTGAATGTGTCCCTTCAAAAAATCACACGTTGAAGCTCTAACCCCCAATGTGATGGAATTTGAAAGTGAGGCCTTTGGGAAGTAATTTTGTTTCTATTAGATCATGATGGTAGGATCCTGGTGATTTGATGGTATTAGCGCCCTTATAAGAAGGAAACTGATCTCTCTCTCTCTCTCTCTCTCTCTCTCTATCTCTCTCTCTCTCAAGCTTGCACCAAAGAAAAGCCCTAGGAGGACATAGTAAGAAGGTGACTGCCTACAAGCCAGGAAGTGAGCCTTCCTGAGACACCAAATCTGCCAGTATCTTGACTTTGGACTTCACAGTCTCCAGAACTGTGAACTGTGAATAATAACAGATTAACAGGTTAATCTATCCAGTCTACGGTATTTTGTTATAGCTGAGAAGCAGTCTGAGATAGAGATTTGTATATAAGATATTTATTAGGAAGTGTTCTCAGCATTCACTCCTGTAAACACTGAAGCAGAATTAGGTAGAGAGAGAAGCTGGCCTACAGTGCAATCACAGCAACGGCTTCAGCAGATCTCACAGGGAACACAGTCACTGGGATGGCCCTGCAAGTGGTTTCCAACTTAAGCAATGTGTTTGGGCCTTTATGCCAGTGCATCGACTAGCCTCAAATTGGAGCAAGGGGGAATGACCTACTTCACCCAAAGACAATTGCCAGAAGAGCAATGGGGAAAATGGTTCAATCCCAGAATGCTGTGGACAGCATACCACAGCATCCATCTTAGATGTAAAATGGTACCTCATTTCTCTGGTTCTTCCCAAGATAATGTAGCTTTTCATACGCTTATTGACCACTTTGTGGGTTGAATACCGAGGTTACACATTGCCTCATGAAATGATTAGCAAACTTTGTCTCTTTCTCTATTCTTGTAACTAATTATTAAAAGAGAAACACTAACTGTGCCTCAAATTTTTAGTAAAATCAGCTGGTTAACAGTGTGGGGTTTTCTTGGGGGGAGGGCGCTGACATAGTTTTGTGGGGGTTAATGAAACGGTTCTGATTCTAGGATTCTGAGCCACTCACTGCTCCAGCTGTAACAGATGCCTCTGTTGCTCACTGCTTTGCACTAGCAGGAACAGAAAGAATGTCTGTATCCCGTCACTGCTTCTATTAGAGCACAAACCACTGCACCAACCACATTTTAGGCAGTCCGTCCTGTTTCCCAAGGCTACCACCTTGCAGAAATCCTCTTACAGATACATTTTGGCTAAAGTTTCTTCTCAGGAAATTTTCTCCTGCTTTCATTTTTCAGGGATTCTTTTATAATTTTTGGTTCTCCAATGGTGCTTTAGCATTTGGAGGAACAGTAGAGAAAGGGGTAAATAGGTTTTGAGAACCAAACAAACAGGTCCTGACAAAATTACATTATGGAGCAACAAAGAAAAATAGAAATTGCAACGTTGCTTTATTTTCTATAGTTTTACTATGTAAACGTTTATTGCTGAATGCCCTAGCTTTGCCTGCTTTTAAACTTTATGTAGCTAGAATCATACATTTTTTTTCTTTTGACTTATTTAACATTGTTTGTGAGATTCATCCACTTTGTGCATATATAGTTTATTCACTTTCACTGTTATATAGTAGTCCATTGCATAACATTATGTATTTTTCTATTGTACTGATTATGTACATTTAGATTGTAGAGGTATCTTTAAATATCCTCCACTAAAATGGAAGATTTAAGATGATAGATTTATCTATGTCTCCTTACAGTTTTGTTAGTTTTTGCTTTATATATTTCAGAGCCATGTTATTAGATGTATACAAAGATAAATTGTATCTTCTTGCTGGGTTAACCCTTTTATGGTCACAAATGATTGCTTTTTTATCTGATAAACATTGTCAGAGCAGTTTTTTTTCAATGGAGTTATACGATTTTGTTTTACATTTATGTACAATTTATGTACAACTTTTTTACATTCAGGGGTTACGTGTACAAATTCGTAAATGGATATATTGAGTGATGCTGAAGTTTGAGCTTCTATTGAACCTATCACTCAAATAGTGAAGATGGTAAACAATAGGTAGATTTCAACCCTTGTCCCCCTCCCTCCTTCCATTTAGAGTCCCCAGTGCCTGTTAATTCTGTCTATGTGCGTGTGTACCCAATATTTAGCTCCTATTATACATGAATATGTGTTATTTGGTTTTCTGTTTCTTCATTAATTCACCTAGGATAATGGCCTCCATCTCCATCCTTGTTGCTGCAAAGAACATGATTTCATTCTTTTATGGCTGCATAGTATTCCATGGTGTATACATACCACATTTTCTTTACCCAATCCACTGTTGATGGGCACATAGGGATTGATTCCATGTCTTTGCTATTGTGAATAGTGCTGCAACAAACATTAGACCGCATGTATCTTTTTGGCAGAATGATTTATTTTCCCTTGAGTGTGTACCCACTAACGGGATTGCTGGGTAAATTGCTATCTTTAGTTCTTTGAGAAGTCTCCAAACTGGTTTCCACTGGAGCTGAATTAATTAATTTACATTCCCACCAATAGTGTATAAGCATTCCTTTCTCTCTGTGACCTTGCTAACATTTGCTAAAAAATATATATAAATATATATAATATATTTATAATAGCCATTTTGACTAGTTTGAGATAATATCTCATTGTGGTTTTGATTTGCGTTTCTCTAATGAATAGTGATGTTGAGCATTTTTTCATGTTTTCTGACAATTTATGTCTTCTTTTGAGAACGGTCTGTTCATGTCCTTTTCCAACTTTCTAATGGAGTTATTTGGTTTTTGCTTCATGATTTTTTAAAATTCCTTATAGACTCTGGATATTAGTCGTTTATCAGATACATAGCTCACAAATATTTCTCCCATTCTGTAGGTTATTTACCTTGTTGATAGTTTATTTGGCTGTGCAGAAGCTCTTTTGTTTAATTAGGTCCCAGTTGTCAATTTTGGGGTGTGCTGCATTTGCTTTTGAGGTCTTAGTCATAAATTCTTCACCAAGGCCAAAAGCCAGAAGAATATTTTGTAGGTTTTCTTGTAGGATTGTTATAGTTTGAGGTCTTACACTTAAGTCTTTACTCCACCTTAAGTTAATTTTTGTATGTGGTAAGAGGGTAGGGATTAAGGTTGATTCTTCTGCATATTGTTACCCAGTTTTCCAGCACCATTGATTAAATAGTCTGTCCTTTCCCCATTGTTCTTTATTTCTGAGTTCTCTATTTTGTTCCATTGGTCAATGTGTCTATTTTTGTACCAGTACCATGGGTTTTGGTTACTGTAGCCTTATAGTATGAGACACCATCTCACATCAGTGAGAATGGCTACTATTAAAAAGTTTTAAAAATATCAAATGCTGGTTAGGCTATAGAGAAAAGGTGATACTTATACACTGTTGATAGGAATGTAAATTAGTTCAGCCTCTGTGGAAAGCAGTTTGGAAATTTCTCAAAGAACTTAGAACTATCATTTTACCCAGCAATCCCATTACTGGATATATATATACCCAAAGGAAAATAAACCATTCTACCAAAACTACACATGTACTCATATGTTCATCACTGCACTATTCACAACAGCAAAGACATAGAACCAACTCAGCAAAGACACAGAACCAACTGGATAAAGAAAATATAGTACATATACACCATGGACTGTTATGCAGCCATTAAAAAAATAAAATCACATTAATTTGAGATGGATTAAAGACTTAAATGTTAGACCTAAAACCATAAAAACCCTAGAAGAAAACCTAGCCAATACCATTCAGGACATAGGCATGGGCAAGGACTTCATGACTAAAACACCAAAAGTAACGGCAACAAAAGCCAAAATAGACAAATGAGATCTAATTAAACTAAAGAGTTTCTACACAGAAAAAGAAACTACCATCAGAGTGAACAAGCAACCTACAGAATGGGAGAAAATTTTTGCAATCTACTCATCTGACTAATATCCAGACTCTACAAAGAACTTAAATAAATTTACAAGAAAAAAACAACCCCATCAAAAAGTGGGCAAAGGATATGAACAGACACTTCTCAAAAGAAGACATTAATGCAGCCAACAGACACATGAAAAAATGCTCATCATCACTGGCCATCAGAGAAATGCAAATCAAAACCACAATGAGATACCATCTCACACCAATTAGAATAGTGATCGTTAAAAAGTCAGGAAATAACAGGTGCTGGAGAGGATGTGGAGAAATAGCGCTTTTACACTGTTGGTGGGAGTGTAAATTAGTTCAACCATTGTGGAAGACAGTGTGGCAATTCCTCAAGGATCTAGAACTAGAAATACCATTTGACCCAGTGATCCCATTACTGGGTATATATCGAAAGGATTATAAATCATGCTACTATAAAGATACATATGTTTATTGCAGCACTATTCACAATAGCAAAGACTTGGAACCAATCCAAATGTCCATCAGTGATAGACTGGATTAAGAAAATGCAGCACATATACACCATGGAATACTATGCAGCCATAAAAAGGATGAGTTCATGTCCTTTGTAGGGACATGGATGAAGCTGGAAACCATCATTCTGAGCAAACTATCACAAGGACAGAAAACCAGACACTGCATGTTATCACTCATAGGTGGGAATTGAACAATGAGAACACTTGAACACAGGGCAGGGAACATCACACACTGGGGCCTGTTGTAGGGTAGGGGGCTGGGGGAGGGATAGCATTAGGAGAAATACCTAATGTAAATGCCAAGTTGATGGGTATAGCAAACCAACATGGCACATGTATACCTATGTAACAAACCTGCACATTGTGCACATGTACCCTAGAACTTAAAGTATAATAATAAAAAAGACACAAACACCCCAAATAAAGAGATTAATATTACTTTAAGAATAAAAAATAAATAAATAAAATAAAATCACATCCTTTGCAGCAACATGGGTGCAGCTGGAGGCCATTATCCTAAGCAAATTAACACAGAAACAGAAAACCAAATATCACATGTTCTCACTTATAAGTGGTAGCTAAGCATTGGGTACACATGGACATCAAGATGGGAGCAATAGACACTGAGGACTACTAAGGAGGATGAGAGAGAGTGAAGAAATAGCTGAAAAACTACCTATTCCTTACTATACTCACTACTTGGGTGATGGGATCACGTGTACCCCAAACCTCAAAATCAAACAATATAGCCATGTAGCAAACCTGCACATGTCCCCCACTTGGCCATGTCCATAAGTGTCTCTTTACCAAATCATCCTTGCAAGGGTAAACCATGCTGCTCATGTTCTCACACCTAGGCCTTATGGGTGGCCAAGGGATGGCCACTTGCAGGAGTGTAAACAGAGCTTATACATTCTTGCTTGGATGTCTGTGCAAGTGCAGTCATGTGGGCTAGCAACCAGTCCTCCTCACCAACACTGCCTTCCAGTCTGGAATTCCAAGGATCCCAAGAATTCTTCCTTCCAGATATTATAAAGGATAGTTGTTAAGGAGGTAGGATAAAATGTGTTTTAGTAATTTGTTATCTTGATTTTTAACTTTTAAATATTTAGGCATATTGTACGTGAGCCTTCATTTATTATTCTTGCCCTGGGCCCTGCCAATGCCAAAGGCAGGTTTGCTCCTAGGAAGCCTGCTTTCTAACCACACCAAATATTTGTAGTTATTTAACGCCTGGACTTCCTCAAACCTCAGTAACTTTGCACAGGCTATTCCCTCTGTCTAGAATGCCTGAGAATTTCCTTGTACTTATGAAGCATCCTTCAAGAGGATAAAAGGTAAAAATTACCACCACTGTTACTGTATATTAACATTGCTCTGGAAGTACTAACCAATACAAGTAGAGAAGAAAAAGGAACAAGAATACGTTAGAGAAATGAGAAACGAAACTCACATCCTTTCATATTGTATGATTATGCAGTTAAGAAACCCAAGAGAATCAACCAGAAAACTATTTTTAAATGATAGGAAACTATTGTAAGGAAGAGAGTTATAAAATTAATTTATAAAAATCAGTAGTTTTGCTATACACAAATAATACTTGAATAGACCACAAAAAACTCTTTTTAAGATTTAATTTACAATAGTAACAAAAAGATAAAATATCTGTGACTAGAATTTAAAGAAATACATAGGATGTATATCTGTAAAGTTTAGAGAAAACTCTAAAACTCTAGGAAATTATTTAATCAATAAAATAAATACCATAGTTACAGAAAAGAAGATTCAGTTGTAAAAATGTCAATTTTCCCTTAAATTGACAAATCAATTTAATGCAATAGCGTTCCAAGTACAAACAGGATTTTTTTGGAACTTGATAAAATAATGTTAGAATGCATCTGGAAAATGTACATGTGAGAATGGCCAGAAAAATTGCTACTAGATAGTAAAATGAATTATATAACTATTTAATTTAAATGTGTGGTCCTGGTTCTAGAAAAGACTACAAAAAAATCATAAATTGACCCAAGTACTTCAGGATGTTTTAGTATTAGCATAGGATAAGTCTGGAGTTTTAAATAAACAAAACCAGCAGGAAAACAATTTCACAAATAAGTTGCATTAGATCATCTGGCTAGCCATTTGAAGAAATAAGTAAAAATACAGTCATGCAGTGCATAATGACATTTCAATCAACAACAGACAGCTTACAATGGTGGTCCCATAATATTATAATACTGTATTTTACTGTACCTTCTCTTTGTTTAGATATGATTAGATACACAAATACCATTGTGTTACAATTGCCTACAATATTCAGTACAGTAATATGCTGTACAGGTTTGTAGCCCAGGAGCAATAAGCTATGCCATATAGCCTAGATGCATAGTAGGCTATACCATTTCGGTTTGTGCAAGTACACTCTATGATGTTTACACGATGACAGAATCACTGAACAATGCATTTCTCAGAATGTATTCCTGTCTTTATGTGATGCATAACTGTAGTTGATTGCCTCATTCCTTATATCGAAATTAAATTTCCAGGAAAATCAAAGTTTGTAATATAAAATTGAAATGAAGTAAGTCTCTGGACTAAAACAGGAGATAATTTTTTAAATAATTTTAAATCGAAGAAGTTTCATTTAACCATGTTGCAAAGATCAGAATTCAAAAGGAAAAGGATTGATAAATTTGAAATCAAACAATGCAAACCTCACTGCATAGCACACAAAGTAATTATCACACCAATGTTAAGGGACAACTGACAAACTGAAAAGTAATTTGCAATACATGCATCAGACAAAGAGCTGGTTTCCTTAATAAACGAAGACCTCCTAGAAATAAAATGTTCTAGAAAATCAATCAACCTAATAGAAAAATTCACAAAGGAACTGACAGTTCATAGGGAAAAAATATACATACAAATAATTGTTTGAAAAATGCTAAACCCTACTCATAAAAACACACAAAACTGCAGGAGCTACCAATGTCCACTATCACAGTGGCAAAGGCTTAAAACTTAATAAAACTTTGGATAAAAGTATGGGAAAATCAGTGTTCTTGCACAATCTCGTTAGAAGCGAGTTTGACTCGGTGAAATTTACTTGGAGGTCAATTTGTCAATCACGATCAAAAAAGTAAAGTGAATATATACATTTTGACCCAAACTTCACTTCTAGTGGTTTATCTTTTTCTTTTTTTTTCTTTTGAGATGGAGTCTCGCTGTGTCACCAGGCTGGAGTGCAGTGGCACCTTCTCAGCTCACTGCAACCTCTGTCTCCTGGGTTCAAGAGATTCTCAGGCTTGAGCCTCCCGAGTAGCTGGGATTACAGTGGGATTACAGGCACGTGTCACCGCACCCAGCTAATTTTTTTTTTTTTAGTAGAGATGGGGTTTCACCATGTTGGCCAGGATGGTCTCGATCTCCTGACCTCATGATCCGCCCACCTCAGCCTCTCAAAGTACTGGGATTACAGGTTTGAGCCACCATGCCTGACCTAGTGGTTTATCTTTAATCCACACACATGCTTAGACATATGAGCGCAAGCTTTATTTGAGATAGAAAAAAAAAAACAAAATTGTAAACATTTAAATATCCATTAAGAGAGAACTTATTAATAAATTATGATACAGTTATGAAAATGTCATGGATTTCTATGAACTACTTTGGAAATACGTCTTTAACTTTTATTTTAAGTTCAGGGGTAACTGTGCAGGATGTGCAGGTTTGTTACATAGGTAATGTGTGTCATAGGGGGTTGTTGTACAGATTATTTCATCACCCAGGTATTAAGCCTAGTATTCATTAGTTACTTTTCCTGATCTTCTCCCTCCTCCCACCCTCCACCCTCCAATAAGCCCCAATGTGTGTTGTTCCCCTCTATGTATCCATGTGTTCTTATCATGGAAATATTTCTTAAGTGTAAGAAGAGAAAAGGTACAAAACTGTATGATTTCATTTATGTAGAAAAGTATGTGTGTGTGTGTTTTGTGTGTATTGATACTTGTTTATACCTAAGCATTCTTAGAAGAATACTAAAGGAACTGTTAACATTGGATACCATTAATTATATTGGAGGTAGAGGAGAGAAACTGTTTTTTCATTTATATCCCTTTCTCCTATTGATAATTTCACCAAGTGGATATATTACATTTATAATTTTAAATATCCAGCCTAAAATTTAGGACAATTCAGTGTTGCCTAAGACTGCTGATCCTCCACCCCCACACACGGTTGAGTTAGGAGATTCCTCTCTTTCAGAGCATTACCCACAGTGAATTGTAACTAGTTACTTACATGTATGTTTCTCCTACCAGCCTGTGCATTCATTGAAGGCAGACATACGTTTTATTCATGTTTGGGTCACCTTCACTTAGCATAGCATCTGGCACATTGAAGAGGGGCAATATGTGTTTGATAAGTGAATGAGAATGAATGAATGAAGCTTTTCCATTTCCACCATCCACATTCAATCTCTCCCTCCTGTGAACTCCTACAGCACTCTGCAGCTCCAAAAATACTTGGCTCACTTCCCCTTAGGAATGTTTTACGAACCCTCCACTAGACTCCATAAGAACAAAGACAATGTCATTGTCATACCCATCTCCAGCCCAGCACCAAGCATGCTATCTGGCCCCACACAAAGCCCAGAAGTATCTGTTGAGTTGAACTGAAAACACCAACACTGTTAACATAAAAATAGGTTCTGTCCTAGGAAAATCGTTCTCCTGGTTCCAAAAAGAAATGAGTTCAGTCTTGCCAAGTCTGTTTTAGCAGAATAAAGTCCCATAGCTAATGACAGCCTTTAACTATTGGAAATGTAAAGCCACATTTTTTTTTTCGTATGGTAATGCAACAAAGAGGTAAGAAGCGTTTGTTTTTAAGTATCTAATCATTTCTTATTTTTTGCAGCAGGCGAGAGAACATGACAAAAGGCAATCGTACCACAGTGACCGAATTTGTCCTCATGGGATTCACAGACCGTCCTGAGCTGCAGCTCCCCCTCTTTGTGGTGTTCCTTGTCATTTATCTCATCACCCTGGTGGGAAACCTTGGCATGATCCTGCTGATCAGAGCAGACTCGCGGCTCCACACCCCCATGTACTACTTCCTCAGTCACCTGGCATTCATTGATCTGTGTTACTCATCTTCTATTGGGCCCAAGATGCTGCAAAATGTATTGGTGAAGAAAAAAACCATCTCCTTTTCAGGCTGTTTTGCTCAGCTGTACTTCTCCGGTGCTTTTGCCACTACAGAATGATTCCTCTTGGCCACAATGCCCTACGACCGCTACGTGGCCATCTGCAACCCCCTGATTTACACAGCTATTATGACGCAGCGGGTCTGCAGGGAGTTAGTGATAGGGGTCTATACCTATGGCTTCCGAAACTCTGTGATACAGACAGCTCTGACGTTTCAGCTGTCTTTCTGCAACTCCGACGTCATCCACCACTTCTACTGTGCTGACCCCCCTCTCCTGGCCCTCTCCTGCTCTGACACCCACAACAAAGAAAAGCAGCTCATGATCTTCTCTGCAGTAAATCTCACTGGGTCCCTCCTTACCATCTTCATCTCCTACATTTGCATCCTCTTTTCCATTATAAAAATCCAGTCTTCCGAGGGCAAGTGCAGAGCATTTTCCACCCGTGCCTCCCACCTCACTGTCGTCACCATCTTTTATGGCACACTATTTTTCATGTACCTGCAGCAACCAAAAGCGGGGAATTCATGGAAGCCAAACAAAGTAGTCTCTGTGTTTTATAGTCTTGTAATTCCCATGCTTAACCCTCTTATCTATCGCCTGAGAAACACAGAAGTAAAGGATGCCCTGAAAAAAATGCTAGAGGGCAAAGAGTTATAGTGAGTGAGTTAATGGAACGCAGCATACTGAAAGTTTGATATATTGACAAGGTAATGTCTCTAATTAAGTTTACATTTAGCAGGCCAACTGCTGTCCAATCAGGAAGCAAACAGTAATCCAATTTGGGAATTTTAATGACCAAAGTACTGGGTCACTTATTTAACATAGTAATGTTTAATCCAATTATCGTGAACTATCAAAATTGACTTACAAGCTAGAATGTCAATAACTGTGTCCTTCATGTGCTGAAGAAGAAATGGCTTACTACCAATTAAATAATAATATAAGCTCTATATTAAAAAAGATCCTGAAAAGCAACATTCTGGGTGAAACTATAATTTAACAAAGCTGGGTACAAAACCCACACATGAAAATCGATGTTATAAGAAACACTTTTCAGTTTACAACAGGCTGTATTGTAGAGAGTAATTTGTTAGTCTTAGAACATATTTCTTCATAACACTTTGCTACAGACGGTGATTAAGTTTCAAGACCAGCTTACAAAAACCTTATTTAATCCAAATGTAATTGAAATACTGCATGCTTTAAATAAACAATAGAAAATATAGTATTGCAGCAACAGTGGGGGGAGAAAAGAACAACAAAAAAAAAACCACTGGGATTCAATTAGATGGGGGGGTTGTTTAGAAAAGAAAGTTTAATTAAAAGAGATAAAGAGAAGGTTTAGGAAACTTTTAGAGATGTTAAAAATAGTCATTTTTTCAACAGCCAGGGTTCAATTTTTCTAGTCTCTGGAAAGTGGAGCCATAGTGAGTTTTTTGGGAGGGGGTGAGGGGTGAGTAGGGAGAAAAAGGAATGGAAAGAGGGAGCATTTGGGGAAGTAATCAGGCCTGGGTATATGTGAATGTTTCTAAGAAACAAAATTATTGTCTTAATTAATTTGAATGATCTAGAGAAATACTTTAGTTTTGCAACATTTTCCATGTTCTTTATTTTTGTTTTCACAGATCCAGCATTCCAATTTCTTGGAAATAAGGCTATATGAATTCTTGGTGTTTTGGGGGATAGGTGAAAGAAAAATCTCTAATTTTTTTTCATTTAGGCAAAAATATGAGCACTCTTTGTTTTGGGGTTTTTTTGTTTGTTTGCTTTTTGTTTTTTTGAGATGGAGTCTCACTCTGTCACCCAGCCTGCAGTGCAGTGGCACAATCTTGGCTCACTGCAACCTCTGCCTCCCGGGTTCAAGTGATCTTCCTCAGCCTCCTGAGTAGCTGGGACTACAGGCGTGCGCCACCACGCCCGGCTAATTTTTGTACTTTTAGTAGAGACAGGGTTTCACCATATTGGGCAGGCTGGTCTCGAACTCCTGACCTCGTGATCCATCCACCTCGGCCTCCCAAAGTGCTGGGATTACAGGTGTGAGCCACTGCGCCCAGCCAAGCACTCTACCGTTTTTCTAAGCCTCGATTCTAATACTTCTTTCAAAATAATTCTTAAGGCAAACAAATCTGCCATAAAAATGTTTATTTTCCTCCTATTTTCAAAAGTGATTACTGTTAAGTAATTTTTAATGGTTTGTAACATATACTACCAATTAATTACAAGTAAGTTTAAAATTAATCAAAAAAACTAAGAGGTCCCTGTTGTCCCCAAATTAACTCTGCAGATAATAATATGGGATCTTTGTTTTACTGTTGCTTATAATCAGATAATTTAGAAAAATAAAAAGTTAAATATTTACAACTTCTCCTACTTAGTTCAGAAAGCCTTTCCAGATAGTTGAGGTATAAGTTGTATCGCTAAGCATTTGAAGATGGAGTGTTGGCTATGGTTGAAAAGGAAGACACTAGCAGGATAAAGGAACAGAGGGAAGAAAAGCAGGAATTGAGCCAGAGAGGGAGGAGCGGTTGCACAGGTAATGAGCAACAGGGGAACAGGCAAAGTGGAGAGGATAATGCTGAGGGATTATAGGAGCCTGGGTATTAGACCAGGAGCTCCCCCTTGAGACCAAGCAAATTATCTTCTTCACTTTGTACCCCAGCACCTTCTGCAGTTCCTGGCATAAAATAGATGCACAATAACTGTTTGCTGAACTGAATTGAACTCGTTTGTGTTTATTCCTAACTCTCATGGGTGGGTAGACATGGTGCCCAGCAATGGTCCTGCGGTTTGGAAGTGACAGAGAAAAGGAAGCCAGTGGGGTTATGACTGGAAGACTGTTTTTCAATATTCTCATAATGAAACTAACATCCATGAGGTGGGAAGACATACAAAGGCAACAGCGCAACCTGACCAGAGAAAGAGAAGTTGGTACATTGGGAAGATGGCACGAGCTGGAGCTGTCGACAGACCATAACAATCAACGAACAACTGCTGCGGAACAAAGGTTGCTACTAACTGAGATAAAGATGAACACGGACCAACATTTAGATGGAAAATTGTGCTTTCAATCATAAGCCATGTCTATTTCTTAAACTTATTTCTCAAACTCTCTATGTCAGTTTAATTTAGAAAGTGAAAAATAACCATGCACTAGATATCACGTTTCAATACATGCCTCTCAGCAAATGAATTCTATTCATGTTTTCAAAGGAATATTCGGTCTAAAAGTTTCATCAGTTTTCAGTTCTTTTCAAGGAAACCTGAATAAAATGTTACAAGACCTCCCCATAATACCTTCCCAGCTGTTGAATTTGTACACTTGGCTCAACACGCCTCCTTGATTACTCTGTAAAACAAAGCATAAAATTGAGAATATTGTATTCATAGATTGCAAAGAATATAAATCTACATTTTACTAAATTTCCCAGAAACTCGAAAAGCAAATAGGCATGAGAAAAGGTCAGAATCAGCTAATTTTTGAGCTAATAATTCCTATTTTCTTTTCCCATTGAGACTCAGCCTTATACATTTATCTCCCTGACTCTGGCCTTATGAAGTAAGAAAGGTCTCAGGTGAAAAATTCTCAAATTAATTATTTGCGTTAAAAAATAGAGTGCTGTATATATGTATAGTATTAATATGATAATATATAATCCACAAGAGAAACAAATATAATTATACACCTTTGTTTCCTTATAAAGTGAGGCTGTTTCAGTCAATACGCAGAATAATTACACTAATCATTCAGCCCAAAGTAAATATCTTCTGAATATGTAAATGTCACCAAAATAATGGCAGATTTATCAGAATTTAAGACTGCAACATTTTGCTGAAAGTGAAAATAAACTCTTCTCACATGTAAATAAACAGCGTATTTGTCTTCCTTTGTTAATAATCCTAAAACTGAATGTTATTTGCCAGCATTCGCCACTTAGACTTTTCATTAACAAATATGATATGTATCTGAAATACTCATTTGGACATAAAATGCTGAATTTTTCAACTGGTATAGATTTCAACTTCTTATTTCTCTTCATTTTATACTCTATTGATTTGTCATGCTTGGAAACATGCCAAATGAATTGTTTTATTATTCCAATCAAAATAAGGAACCATGAGAGGGAACCATATTATTCTTTTCCATTTTCTTTCATATTATTTGATGTATTAGAATTTCAGAAATGTAAGCATTTTAAAAATCTCAAATATGTGCCCCCAAATTTTCAACTCTGCCCTGGATGTATCATTCTAGCATTCTTTGGTGAACAAGATTGAATAGAAAAGTGCTGATTCAGTGCTCAAGAGTGGCTCCACCTGCAACTAAGTGGTGCATCCACCAGCAATAAAGAGGCCACTGATGTCAGAACTTCAGGAGTTTAGGCTCCTGGGAAAGTGACAGATTTAGCCTACTCTTCCTAGCCAGCTTGCTCCAAAAATATAAACCTTTTATAAATAACTGGAACTTCCATGTCCGGTAAGACAGGAAAAACTAGAGAAGGGAAAAGATCATCTTTAATTTTTAAAAACTAAGTAAGTATCTCTTAGGCCTTGGCAGAAACTATCCTAATAGAGACAGTTTCCAGAAGGTCTTATTCTGTGGCCTAAAACAAAAATGTTTTATTCCCTCAAGCTTCCTTTTTTTTTTTTTTTGCCAATAACTTAATAGTTTGTTAGTCAATAATATTACAAATATTTTAAAATTATTTAATATAAATAGTTGGCAGCAAACCATTCCATTACAGAGTTAAATTACCAGTACAACAGACAGACTGGAGATTTAGACACCTGGAAGATAACAATAAAATAAGCTAAAATATTTAGCAAAAAATTTAAACTGAAGGCGTTTACCTAGTGTCCATAAAAGCACAAGCTTACTTTCTTTGCTTGGGCGTGTTGGCCACTCAGGCACCTGGACACCTACGAACCTGCAGCTTCTGCTCCTCATTGAAAGGCAGTCTTGTTTGCCAGCCACGTTGGATGTGGCATGAGGAGAAGGACAGTCAATGAGCCAGCCAGGCTCCAGCACTCTCCTGCCCACCTCTGCCTCACCCTCAGCTGGGGATGCTACGTGACTACAGCTTTCTCATATTTAGGCAAGAGTACAGAGAGCTCTCAGGTCCATCTCTGGGTTTCTCCTAAAAGCTTTTTATTTCATTGTTATTGTCTTTCCTCTTTAGAAAGAGCCACTTTTAACCATTTTTATTCTTATCATGTCATATTTCATGTGAAAGTTATAAATAGTATTTCACTTATTTGCTTTGGCAAAAGTAGCTACTAGCTTTCCTTAGACATCTTTCAAATGGAGAATTTAAACTAGTGTTAACTGTAATAAAGGAGCAAATTGAAAGGAAATTCTAATTAATGTTGCTTGTGTTGGGGAGTAGTCATTTTATGAAGAAAGGTTGAAATGTCTTCTTAAAATTTTGGACTATCTTTTCTTATATTTACCACAAATCACGGATAATTCTCAAGTGTTCACAGTCTCAAAATAGCAACTCTATTAGCTTTAATCTAAGAATACAGTTCTCTGCTCTGCTTTATTTAATTAGGTGTTAAAACACAATCTGTTAAGCCTTTATCTCCTGACATATTCCTATTTTCCTATATATTAAATTGTTAAATTTATCAAAAGAAGGCTGTCGGTATGATCACTTCATTAAACCTGTAACTGACTCCTGATAATGCCTATCAGTCCACACTTTAGACATGTATAATAGAGCACATCAGTAGACACCTGCAAACCAAGTAAGCAGAATAAATCATGCTGAGCCTGAAAAAAATGCATGTTCTTGGAGGTAAAGATTTTGCTTACCAAAAATAAAGTATGGTCTCAAAAAGCAGACGCTCAAAGCCTGTGGAAGCAGTGGTGATGTACTAGGAAGAGGAATAGATTGGGAAACTCACAGTCTGATCTTGAGTCCTTTGTATGCTCTGACCTGTGGTATCAGTCAAGTGGCTTGACCCGTCTAGCCTTAACTTTTTCATCTGGAAAATGAGGAAAATTGTACCTCAAAGAGCTGCCAAACAGACAAAATAGTCTACGGTATGCTAAAACATATTTTAAACATTATAAAAGTATAAAGCTTTTATTTTTAATAACCAGACTTTACCATGATTAGTGTTTAACTTTTAGAGTCTTTGATTTGAAGTGTTTGGGAAATCCTTGCTGGAAAATGTTTTTATATCTACCTATGTGACAAAATATAGAAGTTGCATACGTGTCCAATAATGCATTTTCTTTATGCATGACTGGAAGAAATTAATGCAGCCCATTTCCAACTTACAGGAGTTCTGGTCCCACTGTCTGTTCGCAAGTCAACGATCTGGAACATGGAGACTGTCCCCTGGACACAAAGTTGTCTTCTTAACTAATAATAAATGTTCACAGACATTTCTTTGACCCTAAACCACTACAGCTCACACATTTCCATAGCGGACACTAGAAACGTTTTTCTTGTTACTGCTGCAGTTCTGAAAGGCAGCATTTGTCCCCCATGTCTGTGACTGCTCTGAGCTTCTGCTGGTCTCACCCAGCCTCTGAAAAGACATTAGCGGTAAGCTGTAGGAGGCAGGCCAGGGTGTTCTATGGGGAAGGGGTAAGAGTAAGAGACCTTTTCCTTGGTCTCTGCTTGGACTAGCAATAAGCCTGGCAGAAGCTGAGGGAAAGTAGCACAAGAGTTAAGGTTCTGCAGAAGCCTCTTCCCCTACCTTCTTTCCCTTCCTGTGCTCTCTACCTTCCCCAAGCAGGGCTGCTAGGATGAGAATTCCACCGCCTCTCTAACTCTAGGAGGAGGGTGATGAGGAGCCTGAGATATGAGGATCCAAGGCTGGGTAGGAGGAGAGAAAAGGGGGCAGGGAAGAGGGCCGGGGAGAAGATGATGTGCTATTCTGAGATTCTGTGGAGATGCTGGCTATTGCTTTACTCTTTTGAGAAAGAGTAAAATCTCTCAAGTATTGATGAACCATCCAGGAAAATGCAGTGTTGCCTGTTAGAGTAAATAAAGTAGTTACAGTAGATATGTAACAAAAGTTAACTGAATCTAGACTTAATCTGCTCCCTGCTTCTCTCTCTCTCTCTCTCTCTCTCTCTCTCTCTCTCTCTCTCTCCCCCCCCCCCCACCTTCTTCCCTCCCTCCCTCCCTCTCTCCCCACCACACCACAGATACTCTATTGGGACCACAAACTCAAAATCCTAATGATTAAATTGATCATCATCTTCTACTTCACAGCCAACTACTCCTGCTTTCCCTATTTTTGTACATGACAATTTTCCCCAGTCATCTAGTTCAAAAACTATGTAGTTTCTCCTTATTACCTCATATTTCAAAGAGGAGACAAGACTTATCTATTATTCATCTATGCATTCATGCAAGATTTCTTGCACTAATCCTTTTCCTTTTCATTGCTACTAGCAGCTTTATCATTACTTTGCACCTGGACCTCCCTGGTATCTCTGCATCTAACCTCTTCACATCAAAGATCCTCAGTAGATTCATGTATGTATAACATATAATAATATCACCATTCCAGATCAGTGAGGGAAAAGATGGATTTATCGTAAATTAGAGAAAATGCAAGCCACAACACAGTTACTTTTTCTTATACTCTATATCAAAATAAATTCAACATTGATCAGATCTTAAGGTAACAAATGAAACCTTAAAAGCGCTTGAATAAAATATTGCTGAATATTTGCTAGGCTTGGAATAAGAAAAGCTTTTCCAAGAAAAGAATTAAGTTCAGAAGTTGCAAATAAAAAGTGTGAAAGATTTGATGAAATCAAAAATTTTAATGTTTATTACAATAATTAGTAAAAAAAAATTAAATGGGAAAATATTCACTATATATGACAGAATTAATACAGACAAATAAGATAAATCAGTGAAAGTATAGTTACAAGATATGAATGGATAACTCACAAAATAGGAAATATAAATGGCCTTTGATATGCAAAATATTTCACTCTCGTAATCAATAAAATACAAATTAACATAATATCATTTTCCCCTTTCAGACTGGCAAAGATGTTAACAAATATTAATAACCAGGATGACACTGTAGAGAAAGAGGAAACACAGTGTAAACTGGCATAAAATTTCCAGAGGGCACTTTGACAACACTCATCAAAAGCCTTAAAATTAAGCATCCTTTGATCTAGCAATTTCCTTTACAATAATTTGTTTGATGAAAGTACTCCAACAAATTCATGAAGATCTGTGTATTTAGCATTTACTGTTAGTGATTATAATAGTAAAAAAACAGTATTAATATAAAAAAATCAATGGAGGATTGATTAAATTAAGGATTAGTGACATAATAGCATGTAATGCATCAATTGATTTATTTATTGTTATGAAAATGCTCATGATATATGTGCAAATGATTTCAAATTATGTGTATGATTTTTTTAATTACATATGTGAAATATGTAAAGATACAGAGATTGCTGGTAGTGGTTGGTGTTGGTTATTTCTGGGTGATAGAATCCCAGACGCTTTTTACTGATTCTTTATTTATAAATAAACAGAAATTAAGAAATCGATCCCATTTGGGAAATAGTCTTAAATCTTCAGTTGAGATTTTACCCTATATTAACTCCAAAGTTATATATACCCTATATTAACTCCAAACTAGGGACCCTCCTAGTGACAAATGTCAAGCCTACAGGCAGGGGCCAAATTGAAAGGTTGCTACCATAATCTAAATGTATAGTGAGCGAATAATGCTAGTGAAAGAGACAGACAATGAGCCAATACAGGTGTCAAAGTTGATGCTGGAGTTTTAGACCTGTCTGACTAGGAGGCTGTTGGCCCAAAGAAGAGATGGCTAACAGAAAGATGCTGGGTCTTTAAGTGCCCAACACAGAGCCTTAAACATAGCAGCCATTCAAAATTTTTTTAATGGAAGAATGTAGTTCCAGATGATTTCTTATTATGATCAGTATATATGCTCTGTACAAAGTATTTTCTGGAGATTCCAAGAAGGCTCTAATAGAGGCAGTTTGATCAACACAAGAAACACCAAAATGGGAGTCAGGAGACCTCTTTTACCCATCTCCTAGCTGCATGTTTCTGAGCAACTCACTTCACCCTTTAAGGAGTCCGCATTCTGCACAGGCATTTGAATGCTACTGTTTTAGAGAGATCTTCCCTGATTTCCGGTCCTCAAGAAAAAGAAAGTAGCTGAGTCCTCCTGTTCTCACTTGTCTGGTTGTCAGAATCCAGTTGGCGCCTAGGAATTCACAAATCTCTGTCCTTCTTGTCTGGACTTGCCACTGACATAGTTAGTTCCCTTATCACGTTTTGGACTTAACTGACATAAAGAATACGCTAAGGAACCTGCTCAGAACATCGCAGGATATTGAGCTGGGCCTCTACAAAGGGTCTTAAACCCTGCGCTTAACATTCATTGGGCTCTTACTACCCTTTAGGCCCTGCTCTAAGCACTTTGCATACATGAGTATATCTCACTTCATCATTACTTAGCAAAAGCCGTTCTGATTAACCATAACACAGATAAGTAAAGTGGAGCTTAAAGAAACGAAATGATGGATCCTGGATCACATAGTGTGGAAATGGTGGAGGCCAGATTCAGACCCAGGAAGGAGACTGGCAGAGGTTTAACAGGTGCAGACGCTGCAAGATCTGCACAAGAGGCCATAAGAGGTTTTACAGCTTTCTTCACTGAAGTTTTTCACTGTACTTCATTACACAGTGTATACTTATATCAAGTTATTACATTGTACTCCTTGACAAATTTTTATTTGTCAACTAAATATGTTTTAAGAGAATAAAAAAAAGAAAGAATGGGAAATATAGTGAACTGGCTGACCTGTTATAGGAGTGTGGACTAATAATAGCACAAATGCCCTCTGATTCATGGTGTATGTCTAAATGATGGGGCTAGATTCAGGCTCCAAATTGCTTCCCTGGAGCACTGCGGTGGGCTGTGGCCTATTGTTCCTATGTCCACAGGGATTGTACTGCTCCCCACTGTCCTCACCAGTGAAAAGCCCAGAGCTGGGCTTGGATTGCTGACAGGGCTGGCCTAGGCATCAGCCTGTTTGCAACAGGGACCAATGCACAGCAAAGCTTTTCACACTCTGCCATCTGAACCAGAAGCCTAGCTTGCTTTTGTCGAGAGTGTTCTTAGGTACATAAATATAACAAGGAATTAAATAAAGCACATCTGCAGATTTCCTTCAGGCTTTACATATTCTCTTCCAAATACACGCCTGAGTCTCCAAGGGACAAGCACTGGCTCACCTTTCCTGAGCCAGCTGGTAAATAATTTGTATCAGAGTAGATGTCTGAACCCTACAATTCTTGTCACTTCCATATTCTCCATATCCTTTTTTTTAAAATATTCTCCATATTCTTAAGCTGCAGAGTCAAATTACTGTCATGATGCAAAAAACACCACAGTAGACACAATTTTTTTTGACAATTTAAATCCTATTTGAACCTCTCAGTTTTGGAGTGAAAACTAACTTTTGAGATGTGATAGATGAGAACCTAACAATTGCTAAAATCCTGGAATAGAAATAAAAGAAAGGAACTGCCTCTAAAACCTTACAAACTTTGCTTAATTAGTAAAGGAGCAACAAACAATTCATAAGCCCCTACAATAAACATCACACTAAGAAAAAACATTTTACTTAAGAGCCTTTAAAACATTCAAAAAATAATGTTCCACAATAAACATACGTGGGAATGTGTCTTTATAGTAGCATGATTTATAATCCTTTGAGTACATACCCAGTAATGGGATTGCTGGGTCAAATGGTATTTCTGGTTCTAGATCCTTGAGGAAATCATCACACTGTCTTCCACAATGGTTGAACTAATTTACACTCCCACCAACAGTGTAAAAGCATTCCTATTTCTCCACAGTCTTGCCAGCATCTGTTGTTTCCTGAGTTTTTAACGATTGCCTTCTAACTGGCGTGAGATGGTATCTCATTGTGGTTTTGATTTGCTTTCTCTAATGACCAGTGAAGAATGAGTTCATGTCCTTTGCAGAGACATGGATGAAGCTGGAAACCATCATCCTCAGCAAACTAACACAGGAACAGAAAACCAAACACTGCATGTTCTCACCCATAAATGGGAGTTGAACAATGAGAACACATGGACACAGGGAGGGGAACATCACACACCAGGGCCTACTGGGGGTGGGGGCAAGGGGAGGGAGAGCACTAGGGCAAATACCTAATGCATGGGGGGCTTCAAACCTAGATGACGGGTTGATGGGTGCAGCAAACCACCATGGCACATGTATACCTATGTAACAAAACTGCACATTCTGCACATGTATACCAGAACTTAAAGTAAAATTTAAAAAAGTTCCTAGTTTTGATACCTGAAAAAACTTTGCAGAATTCAAACACATTAGAATAAAATTTGATTTTAAAATATTGATTTAAAAGTTGAGTTGAACTAAACTGTCCGATGTATTACACACTCCTGATGATTTCAAGTCTAATATTTTAGACTTCCTTGAATTAAATATACTACCTACAAATTATCATTTTAAAATAACTATTTAAAAAATATCTGTGGCATTGAAGCTAGAAGCCACTTACTTCCATGTTTTTGCTATCTTGAATGTGTTGTTATCAGGTTCACACAGTGGTATAAATGGGGGGAGTTTGTTGAATCTGAGTTTTACATAACTTGAGAAAATGGGTTCTTGCAACTTTCCTCTGGGATTTAATACTAATCCTGTTACTGAGGAAATGATGAGGATATTATTCGAAAAGTCACAGCACTGATACCCTCTTGAAAAACATGAGCACTGTGGCCACAGTGCATTCTATTCTTTCTAGCCTCTGTAAACTCCAGGTAACTCACAGGTTATTTTCGCTCTCAGTAGATAGTTTTATTTGCATACCTTTTCTTAATTATAAAAGGAACATCAGCCTGAAATTACAAGCCCAGTAGAAAGAGTGTTTTAAGCAGAGGGAACAGCAGGCTGAGGGGCCCAGATGACAGAGAATATGTACTGGAAGAACTGAAAATCGAGGAGAAAGGTGCTGAATTAGAAAGTACAAACTAGGGGGAGGAGCCAAGATGGCTGAATAGGAACAGTTCCCGTCTACAGCTCCCAGCATGAGCGACACAGAAGACGGTGATTTCTGCATTTCCATCTGAGGTACCGGGTTCATCTCACTAGGGAGTGCCAGACAGTGGGCGCAGGTCAGTGGGTGCGCGCACCGTGCGCGAGCCGAAGCAGGTCGAGGCATTGCTTCACTTGGGAAGCGCAAGGGGTCAGGGAGTTCCCTTTCTGAGTCAAAGAAAGGGGTGACGGACGGTACCTGGAAAATCGGGTCACTCCCACCCAAATACTGCGCTTTTCCGACGGGCTTAAAAAACGGTGCACCACGAGATTATATCCCGTACCTGGCTTGGAGGGTCATACGCCCACGGAGTCTCTGATTGCTAGCACAGCAGTCTGAGATCAAACTGCAAGGCGGCAGCAAGGCTGGGGGAGGGGCGCCCGCCATTGCCCAGGCTTGATTAGGTAAACAAAGCAGCCTGGAAGTTCCAACTGGGCGGAGCCCACCACAGCTCAAGGAGGCCTGCCTGCCTCTGTAGGCTCCACCTCTGGGGACAGGGCACAGACAAACAAAAAGACAGCAGTAACCTCTGCAGACCTAAATGTCCCTGTCTGACAGCTTTGAAGAGAGCAGTGGTTCTCCCAGCACGCAGCTGGAGATCTGAGAACGGGCAGACTGCCTCCTCAAGTGGGTCCCTGACCCCTGACCCCCCGAGCAGCCTAACTGGGAGGCACTCCAAAGCAGGGGCACACTGACACCTCACACTGCAGGGTATTCCAACAGACCTGCAGCTGAGGGTCCTGTCTGTTAGAAGGAAAACTAACAAACAGAAAGGACATCCACACCAAAAACCCATCTGTACATCACCATCATCAAAGACCAAAAGTAGATAAAACCACAAAGATGGGGAAAAAACAGAACAGAAAAACTGGAAACTCTAAAACGCAGAGTGTCTCTCCTCCTCCAAAGGAACGCAGTTCCTCACCAGCAACGGAACAAAGCTGGATGGAGAATGACTTTGACGAGCTGAGAGAAGAAGGCTTCAGACGATCAAATTACTCTGAGCTACGGGAGGACATTCAAACCAAAGGCAAAGAAGTTGAAAACTTTGAAAAAAATTTAGAAGAATGTATAACTAGAATAACCAATACAGAGAAGTGCTTAAAGGAGCTGATGGAGCTGAAAACCAAGGCTCGAGAACTACATGAAGAATGCAGAAGCCTCAGGAGTCAATGCAATCAACTGGAAGAAAGGGTATCAGTGATGGAAGATGAAATGAATGAAATGAAGCGAGAAGGGAAGTTTAGAGAAAAAAGAATAAAAAGAAATGAACAAAGCCTCCAAGAAATATGGGACTATGTGAAAAGACCAAATCTACGTCTGATAGGTGTACCTGAAAGTGATGGGGAGAATGGAACCAAGTTGGAAAACACTCTTCAGGATATTACCCAGGAGAACTTCCCCAATCTAGCAAGGCAGGCCAACGTTCAGATTCAGGAAATACAGAGAATGCCACAAAGATACTCCTAGAGAAGAGCAACTCCAAGACACATAATTGTCAGATTCACCAAAGTTGAAATGAAGGAAAAAATGTTAAGGGCAGCCAGAGAGAAAGGTCGGGTTACCCTCAAAGGGAAGCCCATCAGACTAACAGCGGATCTCTCGGCAGAAACCCTACAAGCCAGAAGAGAGTGGGGGCCAATATTCAACATTCTTAAAGACAAGAATTTTCAACCCAGAATTTCATATCCAACCAAACTAAGCTTCATAAGCGAAGGAGAAATAAAATACTTTGCAGACAAGCAAATGCTGAGACATTTTGTCACCACTAGGCCTGCCCTAAAAGAGCTCCTGAAGGAAGCGCTAAACATGGAAAGGAACAACCGGTACCAGCCGCTGCAAAATCATGCCAAAATGTGAAGACCATCAAGACTAGGAAGAAACTGCATCAACTAACGAGCAAAATAACCAGCTAACATCATAATGACAGGATCAAATTCACACATAACAGTATTAACTTTAACTGTAAATGGACTAAATGCTCCAATTAAAAGACACAGACTGGCAAATTGGATAAAGAGTCAAGACCCATCAGTGTGCTGTATTCAGGAAACCCATCTCACGTTCAGAGACACACATAGGCTCAAAATAAAAGGATGGAGGAAGATCTACCAAGCAAATGGAAAACAAAAAAAGGCAGGGGTTGCAATACTAGTCTCTGATAAAACAGACATTAAACCAACAAAGATCAAAAGAGACAAAGAAGGCCATTACATAATGGTAAAGGGATCAATTCAACAAGAAGAGCTAACTATCCTAAATATATATGCACCCAATACAGGAGCACCAAGATTCATAAAGCAAGTCCTGAGTGACCTACAAAGAGACTTAGACTCCCACACATTAATGATGGGAGACTTTAACACCCCACTGTCAACATTAGACAGATCAATGAGACAGAAAGTCAACAAGGATACCCAGGAATTGAACTCAGCTCTGCACTAAGTGGACCTAATAGACATCTACAGAACTCTCCACCCCAAATCAACAGAATATACATTTTTTTCAGCACCACACCACACCTATTCCAAAATTGACCACATAGTTGGAAGTAAAGCTCTCCTCAGCAAATGTAAAAGAACAGAAATTATAACAAACTATCTCTCAGACCACAGTGCAATCAAACTAGAACTCAGGATTAAGAATCTCACTCAAAACCACTCAACTACATGGAAACTGAACAACCTGCTCCTGAATGACTACTTGGTACATAACGAAATGAAGGCAGAAATAAAGATGTTCTTTGAAACCAACGAGAACAAAGACACAACATACCAGAATCTCTGGGACGCATTCAAAGCAGTGTGTAGAGGGAAATTTATAGCACTAAATGCCCACAGGAGAAAGCAGGAAAGATCCAAAATTGACACCCTAACATCACAATTAAAAGAACTAGAAAAGCAAGAGCAAACACATTCAAAAGCTAGCAGAAGGCAAGAAATAACTAAAATCAGAGCAGAACTGAAGGAAATAGAGACACAAAAAACCCTTCAAAAAATTAATGAATCCAGGAGCTGGTTATTTGAAAGGATTAACAAAATTGATAGACCGCTAGCAAACCTAATAAAGAGAAAAAGAGAGAAGAATCAAATACACGCAATAAAAAATGATACAGGGGATATCACCACCGATTCCACAGAAATACAAACTACTATCAGAGAATACTACAAACACCTCTACGCAAATAAACTAGAAAATCTAGAAGAAATGGATAAATTCCTCGACACATACACTCTCCCAAGACTAAACCAGGAAGAAGTTGAATCTCTGAATAGACCAATAACAGGAGCTGAAATTGTGGCAATAATCAATAGCTTACCAACCAAAAAGAGTCCAGGACCAGATGGATTCACAGCCGAATTCTACCAGAAGTACACAGAGGAACTGGTACCATTCCTTCTGAAACTATTCCAATCAATAGAAAAAGAGGGAATCCTCCCTAACTCATTTTATGAGGCCAGCATCATTCTGATACCAAAACCTGGCAGAGACACAACAAAAAAAGAGAATTTTAGACCAATATCCTTGATGAACATTGATGCAAAAATCCTCAATAAAATACTGGCAAAACGAATCCAGCAGCACATCAAAAAGCTTATTCACCATGATCCAGTGGGCTTCATCCCTGGGATGCAAGGCTGGTTCAATAGACGCAAATCAATAAATGTAATCCAGCATATAAACAGAGCCAAGGACAAAAACCACATGATTATCTCAATAGATGCAGAAAAAGCCTTTGACAAAATTCAACAACACTTCATGCTAAAAACTCTCAATAAATTAGGTATTGATGGGACGTATTTCAAAATAATAAGAGCTATCTATGACAAACCCACAGCCAATATCATACTGAATGGGCAAAAACTGGAAGCATTCCCTTTGAAAACGGGCACAAGACAGGGATGCCCTCTCCCACCACTCCTATTCAACATAGTGTTGGAAGTTCTGGCCAGGGCAATCAGGCAGGAGAAGGAAATAAAAGGTATTCAATTAGGAAAAGAGGAAGTCAAATTGTCCCTGTTTGCAGATGACATGATTGTATATCTAGAAAACCCCATTGTCTCAGCCCAAAATCTCCTTAAGCTGATAAGCAACTTCAGCAAAGTCTCAGGATACAAAATCAATGTACAAAAATCACAAGCATTCTTATACACCAGCAACAGACAAACAGAGAGCCAAATCATGAGTGAACTCCCATTCACAACTGCTTCAAAGAGAATAAAATACCTAGGAATCCAACTTACAAGGGACTAGAAGGACCTCTTCAAGGAGAACTACAAACCACTGCTCAAGGAAATAAAAGAGGATATAAACAAACGGAAGAACATTCCATGCGCATGGGTAGGAAGAATCAATATGATGAAAATGGTCATACTGCCCAAGGTAATTTATAGATTCAATGCCATCCCCATCAAGCTACCAATGACTTTCTTCACAGAATTGGAAAAAACTACTTTAAAGTTCATATGGAACCAAAAAAAGAGACCGCATCACCAAGTCAATCCTAAGCCAAAAGAACAATGCTGGAGGCATCACACTACCTGACTTCAAACTATACTACAAGGCTACAGTAACCAAAACAGCATGGTACTGGTACCAAAACAGAGATATAGATCAATGGAACAGAACAGAGCCCTCAGAAATAACGCCACATATCTACAACTATCTGATCTTTGACAAACCTGAGAAAAACAAGCAATGGGGAAAGGATTCCCTATTTAATAAATGGTGCTGGGAAAACTGGCTAGCCATACATATGTAGAAAGCTGAAACTGGATCCCTTCCTTACACCTTATACAAAAATCAATTCAAGATGGATTAAAGACTTAAAGGTTAGACCTAAAACCATAAAAACCCTAGAAGAAAACCTAGGCATTACCATTCAGGACATAGGCATGGGCAAGGACTTCATGTCTAAAACACCAAAAGCAATGGCAACAAAAGACAAAATTGACAAATGGGATCTAATTAAACTAAAGAGCTTCTGCACAGCAAAAGAAACTACCATCAGAGTGAACAGGCAACCTACAAAATGGGAGAAAATTTTCGCAACCTACTCATCTGACAAAGGGCTAATATCCAGAATCTACAATGAACTCAAACAAATTTACAAGAAAAAAACAAACAACCCCATCAAAAAGTGGGTGAAGGACGTGAACAGACACTTCTCAAAGGAAGACATTTATGCAGCCAAAAAACACATGAAAAAATGCTCATCATCACTGGCCATCAGATAAATGCAAATCAAAACCACAATGAGATACCATCTCACACCAGTTAGAATGGCAATCATTAAAAAATCAGGAAACAACAGGTGCTGGAGAGGATGTGGAGAAATAGGAACACTTTTACACTGTTGGTGGGACTGTAAACTAGTTCAACCATTGTGGAAGTCAGTGTGGCGATTCCTCAGGGATCTAGAACTGGAAATACCATTTGACCCAGCCATCCCATTACTGGGTATATACCCAAAGGACTATAAATCATGCTGCTATAAAGACACATGCACACGTATGTTTATTGTGGCATTATTCACAATAGCAAAGACTTGGAACCAACCCAAATATCCAACAATGATAGACTGGATTAAGAAAATGTGGCACATATACACCATGGAACACTATGCAGCCATAAAAAAGGATGAGTTCATGTCCTTTGTAGGGACATGGATGAAATTGGAAACCATCATTCTCAGTAAACTATCGCAAGAACAAAAAACCAAACACCGCATATTCTCACTCATAGGTGGGAATTGAACAATGAGATCACATGGACACAGGAAGGGGAATATCACACTCTGGGGACTGTTGTGGGGTGGGGGGAGGGGGGAGGGATAGCATTGGGAGATATACCTAATGCTAGATGACGAGTTAGTGGGTGCAGTGCACCAGCATGGCACATGTATACATATGTAACTAACCTGCACAATGTGCACATGTACCCTAAAACTTAAAGTATAATAAAAAAAAAAAAAGAAAGTACAAACTAGGGAATGGCAGGAATTGAGGCTATAGATGCTGTGAAGGACAGATGATGCAAGGCCATATTAAGGAGTTTGGACTTTATCCTAAAAGCAATGTGAATTTACTAGACTTTCAAGCAGAGGACTAACAGACAAAAATGCATTTTAGAAAGGTTAGTCTGACCAGTGTGGGAGGTGAACAAGACAGAGATAAGACTAAAGGCAAAAAGAATTATTACAGTTATGCTCACGTAGCAGTCATACAAGAGCAAGATGATGGGATGAACAATAATGATGGGATGGAGAGACATGGATTTTTTTTTTTTTTTTTTTTTTTTTGGAGACAGTCTTGCTCTGTCGCCAGGCTCGAGTGCAGTGGTGCAATATAGCTTGCTGCAACCTCCGCCTCCCGGGTTCAAGGGATTCTCCTGCCTCAACCTCCCGAGTAGCTAGGACTACAGGCCCCTGCCACCACGCCCAGCTAATATTTTGTATTTTTAGTAGAGATGGGGTTTCACCATGTTAGCCAGGACAGACTCGATCTCCTGACCTCATGACCCGCCCGCCTCAGCCTCCCAAAGTGCTGGGATTACAGGCGTGAGCCAGCGCGCCCAGCCAGGTTTTAAAAAAAATTATGAATTACTTACATGCTATATTTTTGCCATCACTTTATTGCTAAAATTTATCAGTTATTTTGCTTTAGTTGAGTCCCTTGTAAACACCTTATATTTAAATTTTACTTTTGATATAATTTGAGAATATTCATCTTTTAATTCAAATCTAAATTATTCACATTTATTTTTATAAATATGGCATTTGGTCAAACTTTATCATCATATTTTTCTATTAGTATGTTTTCATTTTCCTAATTTTACACTTTTTTGCTTTTTCTTTTTTCTAACTTTGCGCTAGTGATTATCTTTCCTTCATATTTTACTTGCTAGTTACTGGTTATCTGTGATTTTTTTTGAAAAAGGGTGTCACCCAGGCTAGAGTGCAGTGGTATAATCATGGCTCACTGCAGATTCAACCTCACAGGTTCAAGTGATCCTCTCACCTCAGCCTCCTGAGTAGCTGGGACTACAGACGCGCGCCACCACTCCTAGGTAATTTTAAAAATTTTTGGCTGGGCACGGTGGCTCACGCCTGTAATCCCAGCACACTGGGAGGCCGAGGCGGGCAGATCATGAGGTCAGGAGATCAAGAACATCCTGGCTAGCATGGTGAAACCTCGTCTCTACTAAAAATACAAAAAAAAATTAGCCGGATGTGGTGGCGGGCACCTGTAGTCCCAGCTACTCGGGAGGCTGAGGCAGGAGAATGGCCTGAACCCGGGAGGCGGAGCTTGCAGTGAGCCGAGATCGCGCCACTGCACTCCAGCCTGGGTGACAGAGTGAGACTCTGTCTCAAAAAAACAAACAAACAAAAAAATTTTTAGAGATAGGGTCTCACTATGTCACCCTGCCTGGTCTTGAACTTCTGGGTTCCAGCGATCCTCCTGCCTCAGCCTCCTAAAGTGCTGGGGTTACAGGCGTAAGACACCTCACCCAGCCTGTGATTTTAAACATTGCATTTGAATTTGAATCACTTTCCAGAATACATCATGATTTTTACATACACCCTATAAAAGAAACAGTTTATCACACGTTTGCCTCCTCACTTATCTCCCTATAACCCCAAGTCCCAATGATCTGAATATTTTAGATTCATATCACAATTTTTTTTAACAATGCATCTTCTCTTTTAAAAATCACAGATGGGCTGGGCACAGTGGCTCACGCTTGTAATCCCAGCAGTTTGGGAGGCCTAGGTGGGTGGATTACCTGAAGTCAGGAGTTCAAGACCAGCCTGGCTAATGAGGTGAAACCCCATCTCTACTAAAAATACAAAACTTAGCCAGGTGTTGTGCTGCGCACCTGTAGTCCAAGTTACTCAGGAGGCTGAGGCAGGAGAATTGTTTGAACCTGGGAGGCAGAGGTTGCAGTGAGCCAAGACTGCACCACTGCACTCCAGCCTGGGTGACAGAATGAGACTCCATCCCAACAACAATGACAAAAATCACTTATGAACCTATATGTTATTTCAAAATCACATGAACAGGAATTATTTAAACAATTATTTCAGAGGAGTTATTATTTATCACCTTTTCTTTCTACCACATCTTTCACTTTCTTGAGTCAATCCTTTTTTCTAAATATTTTCTTTAATTTTGTTTTTGTCTGACATTCAATGAGCCTTTCTAACCTGAAGATACGAAGTTTTCATTAGCTCAGGAAACATTTATTTTATTTATTTGTATCATTGATTCCCCTAACTGTTCTGTTCTTTCCTTCTAAAAGAAAAAAAATTTCAGGAACATTTACTCTAGATTTCAATTTTGCTCCAACATTTATTACTGTCTTGAGAACCTCTATGACAATTTAGGTCAAGGGACAATTTATTCAAAAAAGAACAAACCATCTACAAATTCTCTTATCATGTGAGCCTCACTCCCATTCCGCATCCAGTGTGGTTTCCCACAAAGATGTTTGGAGAAGAGAATCAATGGAGGTGGAAATCTTTGGTCCAGCAGTTGGATGAGTCACAGGACCTTTTGGCCCATCTATTTGTTTCAGAAGGAACAAGCATAATATGTGTGTGCAGATTTCAACACTACATGGACAATAGCACAGCTGTTATTGTTGTGTATTCTTCTGCAAGAGGCCATGAACCCAAAAGCCTTGTGGTGAGGGGTTAAGACTAAGATTTTATTTCTTCTTTGTTAGTTGTTCTTTGTTTAGTTTCTTCTTTGTGCTTAAAAATATATGAAGTCATTACATGTGAAAAAAATAGATGTACATTATTTTAAGGTCCCATTCTGTAAAACGTGGTACAAATATGCATTAAATGAGAGACCTCAGTATAATTTAACTATCAGTGTTCAAGTTCAGTTTTTTCAACTCTGTATCTCCTCATTCTTGATTTAATATTTGGTTCATTTCTTGCCAAAATAATTATGTCTTTGAATAACTTTCAATGAAATGTGCATAAATAATTCATTTTCAGAGGCCGTATTTAAGTGAGACTATATCTATTCTCTTATCACATAAATTGCTGGCTCATAAACATTTCCCACAAAGTTCTTTAGACTTCTTGAAACTATTTGATTTCTGTCCCTTGTGAAATTCAAAAACTTCACCAATCTGCCTCCATGTGGGTCTCTTCTCATTATTATTTTTGCCTGAAATACAGGGAATATTCTCATTCTATAGAATCACATTTTTTTAGTTTATGAAATTTTCTTTAATCTATTATGGCTTCTGATTCACAGTAAATAAATGCTTCCTCAGAGATGCCTATTATCTGTATGTTGGATCTTCAGACTCTGTACTCCTTATTTTTCATCATCTCTCTTTCATCATTTTTTGCTCATATTACTTTCTGCATTGTGGAAGAGTCTCTCAACTTTGTGTATCTAGCACTAATTCAATAATATGCAATACCCATGTTTCACTTTCACATAATTAAATAAGTTTAATTATGATCTTTTTAGATTGCTTTTATTATTCTTTCTCTGTTTTAGTCAACCAGTCATTTCACCATTTCATTTCATCTACCATCTCCCCACTAAGATTTTTTTTTTTTTTTTTTTTTTTTTTTTTTGAGACAGAGTCTTGCTCTGTTGCCCAGGCTGGAGTGCAGTGGTGTGATCTTGGCTCACTGCAAGTTCCACCTCCTGGGTTCACACCATTCTCCTGCCTTGGCCTCCCGAGTAGCTAGGACTACAGGCGCCTGCCACCACGCCCAGCTAATTATTTTGTATTTTTAGTAGAGACGGGGTTTCACAGTATTAGCCAGGATGGTCTCGATCTCCTGACCTCGTGATCTGCCCACCTCGGCCTCCCAAAGTGCTGGGATTACAGGCTTGAGCCACCACACCCGGCCAAGATTTTTTATTTTTATCTTTCATGTATTGTTTCATTTAACAATGTTTTGGATTTTTATAAATAAAATGTATGTTGTTTCTAGTATGTTTTATTTTCTTATCATAAAATTTAGTATTTATATTTCTGTGTCTTCAGTAATTAGCCTTACCTAGTCCCTGTACCAATGAAAAAATAGAATGTGTCCATCCACCTCTATTTCTGCAGCACTGCTCTGTGAGTCATGCTGAATACTATTCTTATTTCTGACTTCCTTTGAAATCCTCTTGAACAGAATTGAGCAAGAGGTGAGGCTAGGAAGGGGTGCAGTAATAATGATGGTAGCCACCATGCATTTAGAGTGCTCTAGGCAGAAGCAGACAGGAATGATAGAATTTTATGTGACTCATCTCCTCACAGAAAGTCAATGCAGTGTGAAGAAAATAAAGTTAAATAGAGTAAATATAAACACAGTCAACAGTGTTAAGCCTTTTTAAGCAGAAAAACCCTATTTTTAAAATAAAAATGTCACATAGATTTCCAATAAGAAGAAAAGGAAAAAAGCACACTTAACAATAATTCTTCCATGAACATAAAAGTCACACAAGTTGTATCTGAAACTTGCACTCCATTCCTGTGCCCTACCAGGGTTAAGTCAAAGTATCATGGAGATAAGTATGGAAATAAGGGCCCTCTCCAATCAGAGCTGTCCTCAGAAAAACTGCATAATTATTAATGCTATTATTATTATGCATATTTATTATTAAACCTAGGAAATGAAAAACAAACTGCACATTCAACTCAGAAAGCAAGAAGAACAAAATATATAAAAGTCAAAGTAAGAAGTTATGATAAGAAGAAGAAAACTAGTTAGAAAAACAGGAGTATAATAGGATATACAACTAGTTCTAAAGGCTGGGCCTTCTATTTTAAAACTCATTAAACAGGAAAATCTCCAAAAAATCTAATTAAGAAAAATGCAAAAATTTAAAGACACAATATTAGAAATAAGAAAAAAGCTGTATAGCAGCTACTGAAACTTTAAGAAGTATATAAGAACACAGTACTTAGCACTTGCACTGTGCATAATCACTATTAAAAATAGCAGAAGTGTGGGAGATGTGGAAGTTTTATTTACAAGATTTCCAAATTCGTTCTTTGAGACTAACATAGCCTTGATGTCACAGCCAGAAACACACACACACAAAAACTATAACCCAATATCAGTTGTGAAGATAAAGCCAAAAGTTCTAAGTCCAACACGTGCCATTTGAATTCAATACATTATGTATTAAACAGTCCACACCATGACCAGGTAAGGTTTATTTCAGAGGGTCAGATATGAATAGAAACTATGTCAATTAATTAATTCTACTAAGGAAGAAAAACGAGAAAACATGTTAATTTTAGACTTGAAGCAATAAAAGCATTCTCAAAATGTAAGAAAAAAAGAAAGGCTGTGACCATGATCACAGCCATCAAGCAACATGATCTGGGAGAGGCTAGCTATTGCCTATGATGAAAAACTAATATTATCTTATTTTTATGAATCATAACAAGTAATACAAGGTTATTGTTTTAAAATATTAAACAAATAAATGATATAGACTTCCACAACTCACTTTCTGGAGATAACCACTATTGAACCACTATACATGAAAATATTCATGTATTCTCTTCCAGGGTATTTTTGTTCCTCAAACTTTTAATTGCATCAATAAATATGTGGTTATAGAAACTAAAATATTTTAACAATACATTGAGATAAAAAGTAAAAATCCCTCTTACTCCTCCCTGCTATTACTTACCTCATGGAAACAAGAGTTCACAATTTGATATGCATACTTCTGAAACTCTTCTGCATTTCATATATAGGATATGCAAATATTATCTTTCTTAAATATTTGAGATCTATGATCTATAAATATGTATATATACATATACAAATAACATATATATGCACACATATTATATGTATATATATTTCTCTGCCTTGCTTTTTTCACTTAAATTTAAATCTGAACTCTTTATGCAGCTGAATTAGAGAAGCCCAGCTGGATTTATGACCTAGCAGGTCTTTTGACAGTGCAAAGGCTTCCCCTGCAGGTCTTACTATAGAGAACACAGAATACATTATCTGGTTCGAAGAGAGAATAAATAAATGACTAGTCCAGTCTCTTCTGATCTCACCAATCAGATAAGTCATCACTCTTTTCATGTCTTCACATGTCATTGTGAGATGAAGAGAAGTGTGGAAACCATTTTCCCCTACTTCTTAAAGGGTGAATATTTCTGTTTCTAGGGCCAAAGCAGGAAGGTAGGGAGAGGAACTAAGATAATTCCAACCACACGGGACATAGAATATAGCACAGAAGTACTACAATTTATTTAATCATTTGCCTATTAACATTTTTTGTTACAAATATTGCCATAATAAACAGTAGGATAATGAATGCTTCTGGAATAAGACTGCTAAAAGTAGAATTGCTGGATCACAGAGCATATACACTTTTATTTTTATATATTGTTTTATATTTTAATTCTAAAACCAAAACATGAATATGGCTTTAAAAGTTCCAAAAGTACAGCAGAGTAGAAAAATTGAAAACCATTATCTCCCTTTAAAATTTCTATTGGCCACCATAAAAACTCCAACATTTATTATACCACTATTTTCCTGATTTATCAATCTAAGATCTTAGTTGCTGCCTCCCAGCTATAAAAGATAAAAAGGCAGTACATTTAAACTATGATCCATCTTCTCTCACACCAAAGCCAAAATCCATTCTCAATATCTCTCTCTGAAGTATATAAAGGATGTGATACTAAAGGTTATGTAAATGCCCAACAGACTGTCTAGAAACAAATGCATATCAAGGCTTATCATTGTGAAACTTCTGACAAAGGAGGCAGAAAATGGATTTTGCTAGATTCCAGAGAGAGGAAAATAAATACCACAAGCTTTATTAGCAATGAGAATGGCTTTAAGACTTTCAGTAGCAATATGGGAAGCTGAAAGACAATGGAACAATAATTCAAAATGCTTTTTTAAAAAGTGATTTCCAACTTAGAATTTTATAACCATCCAAGGGCCAGGGTAGAATGCAGAGCTTTTTAGATGAACAAGATCTGAAAATGTTTACCTCCCACACACCCTTTCTCAGGAAACAACTTGAAAATGTGCTTCATCAAAATAGGAGAGTGAAGCAATAAAGACATTAAATACCAGAGACACTCCCAAGATAAAGGTAAAGAAGACTCCAAGATAATAGCTATGCATCAAATAGGTGTGGAAGCATGTTAGGAAACACCAGTAAGGAAACACCAGGGACTCTCCAAAATGATGAAATTCATAGAATATCTGATATGAAGTAACATACTGAGAGAATTTTTAAACAACCAGAGGAGAAGAATTTGGAGATTGAATTAGCAGTATAGTTTCCTACTTAACTATAGAAAAAATAGAAAGTTATTTAGTTAAGTTGGCTCAGGTAAAAAAGAGTCATTATTTACTACATATCTCGGTTCTGAATTACATACATTGTCATGATAATTTAAAACTAAATATTGATCTAATTTATATTAAAGAGTAGCAATATTAGGAGTGAAATAACAAGAAATTAGCTGTGTAGAGTGGGAAAGAGAGAGGAATGAGAGGTAAATACTCATCTTTTATAACAGGAAGTCAATGGATAGTGCTTAAACCAAAAAAAAAAAAAAAAAAGAAATAATAATGCAAGCTTGATTTTTAAAGATATAATGATAAACAAATTATCCAACTAAAAAATAATTTAAAATGCTCAACTGTGGGGTAGGAGAAAAAAGGGAGAAAGGAGACTGAATACACTAATTTTTAACTTTTAAAATTAAATTAATATTAAAATGTGCAATTTTGACTTTGGTAAAGACAAACATTTTGAAAATTTTAATATAATGCATAATGATCCCATTAATGATAACAACAAATGCAGCATCAAAAGAAATATTCAAAACTTCTGTTAAAACAAGCAAGCAAACAAATGATATCACTTTACACACAAATGTAAGTACCTAAATAAATAGAAATGTGTTTCACATGAGAAAATTCAATATTACAAATATAATTATCATCTATTTCACTTATATATTTAAATAATTTCTCATTAAAATTTTACAACATTTTAACAAATGATGCTGAGATAACTGAATGTCCATATGCAAAATAATGAACTGGGACTTCTACCTCACACTATATATAAACATTAATTCAAAATGGATCAAAGATCTGAATGTAAGAGCTAACACTATAAAATCTTAAAAGAAAGCATAGGTGTAAATCTTTGTGATCTTGCATTAGACAACAGGTTTTTAGCTATAATACCTACAGCACAAACAATCAAATATATACATAGGAATGCATCAAAACTAAAAACTTTTGTGGTTTGAAGGACACTATCAAGAAAATGAAAATACAACCCAAAGAAAGGGAGAAAATATTTACAAATCATATATCTGATGAGCTTAGTATCTAGAAAATATAAAGAACCATTACAACAGAAGAATAAAGACAACACAATTTAAAAATGGGCAAAGGATTTGAATAGACATTTCTCTGAAGAAAGCATGCAAATGACCATTGGTCCTTTGAAAAGCACATGAAAATATACTAAACATCATTAAATATCAAGGAAACGCAAATCAAAACCACAGTGAAAAGAGTTCCACTTCCTGCATGACAGCATGGTGAGCTCCAAAGTCCAACCCCCGAGCAAAACAAGTGAAAATTGTATTTGGAAACACAATGATTTAGTCTCTGGAAATGCTTCTAAGGGTATACAACAAGTTTTTTTAAAAAATTTATTCAAGAAAATCTACTAAAACTTAATAAGAACAGTAAGATTCTGTGGTATTCAAAACAAGACCTGCTCCCTCCCTCCCCTATCCCAGTTCATCAAGAGACAAACTCTACTCCAAACTGATGAGGTCAAGAACTCAGGGCTCTCTTTCCTCCCAGCTTCCAGTTGGAGAGCTAACCTCCTAGAAGAGGGGGGATTTCAGCATTTCTTATCCTATGCCTAGTTCTGAAGCTAAGTTTCAGGTGAGAGGTCAGTTACAGCTGAGAGGTCAGGGCTCCCTTGTTCCACCAAGCCCCTACTTGTGGGATGGAGGATCTACCTTAGGCATATTATTATCGTGAATTATGAGGCCCTGATCACTCTTGCCCTAACAAATAAGTCAGTAAAGAAGAAATTGAAGGATAAAAACATGCAAGACATACAGGATACAAAAACTAAAATGGCAGACATAAATCCAACTATGTCAATAATAACATTAAATGTGAATGTATTGAACAATCCAATCAAAAGGCAGGAAATCACAGACTGCATTTAAAAAAACACACACACAAGATCTAACTCTATGCTATCTACAGGGTATATACTTTAAATGTATATACAGGATATATATGTTTTCAAAGTTCATCCATGTTGTAGCTTGTGTCAGCACTTCATTCCATTGTATGCCTGAATAATTGTCTACTATATAGATATACTACATTTTCTTTATATATCTTTAAGTTGAACATTTGGATTGTTTCCATTTTTGGCTATTATGGATGATGCTGCTATGAATGTTTATGTACAAGTTTTTGTGTGAACATATATTTTTAGTTCTTTAAGGTGGGACTTCAGAGCTCACCATGCTGTCATGGAAGTGGAACTCTTTTAATTGTGGTTTTGGTTTCCATTTCCTTAATGTTTAATGATGTTTAGTATCTTTTCATGTGCTTTTCAAATGACCAATGGTCATTTGCATACTTTCTTCAGAGAAATGACTATTCAAATCCTTTGCCAATCTTTATATTGCGTTATTTGCCTTTATTATTCTGTTATAACAGTTCTTTATATAATAAATATATTATTCCATAATATAGAAATATCAGTGTATATACAGGATATACACTTTAAATTCAAAAATTCAAATACGTTAAAAGTAAAAGGATGTATCATTCAAACAGTAACCACAATAAAATTGGAATGGCTACACTAATATCAGATGACACAGACTAAAACAAAGCATGTGACTACAGGGATATTTTATAATAAAAGGGTCATTCCACGATGAAAATAAAGCAATTACAAATATATATGCATCTAACAGCAGGACACCAAAATACATGAAGAAAAAACTGACAGAATGAAGGGAGAAATAGACAATTCAATAATAATAGTTGAAAATATTAATACCCCACTTTTAGTAATGGATGAAACATCTAGGCAGAAGATCAACAAGGAAATAGAAGACTTGAACAACACTATCAACCAAATAGACCTAATAGAAATCTATAGAATATTCTACCCAACAATAACAGAGTATACATTATCCTCAAGTGGACATAAAATATTCTCCAGGAAAGACCATAGGTTTACCAAAAAACAAACCTCAGTAAATTTAAAAAGATAGAAATTACAAGATATGTTCTATAACCACGATGGAACACTATGAGAAACCAATAACAGAAAAAAAATTTGGAATTTCACAAATATGTGGTAAATAACACACCCATAAATAACCAAAGGGTAAAAGAAGAAATCAAAGGGAAATTAGAAAATAATTTTAAATAAATTAAAATTAAAATATAGCTGTCAAAATTTATGAGGTATAGCTAAAGTAGTTACTTTAGAAAAGAGTTTGACGATTCTTCAAAAAGTTAAACATACAGTTACCATATGATCCAGCAGGTCCACCCATAGAACTGTACCAAAAACAACTAAAAAATACATGTTCACACACACAAAAAGTGTGCACATTCATAGCAGCATAATTCATAATAGCCAAAAATGGAAACAACCTAAATGTTCAACCTGTATATTTAAAAATGTAGTATATCTATATATAGTAGACAATTATTCAGGCATAAAATGGAATGAAGTATTGACACATGCTACAACATGGATGAACCCTGAAAACATTATGCTAAGTGAAAGAAAACAGAGACAAAAAGCCAATATATTATATGACTACCTATATATATGAAATGTCCAGAATAGACAAGTCCATAGAAACAGAAAATACATTAGCAATTGCTATTCTGGACATTTCATATACATTTAATCATATAATATGTTTCTGTGAAGATTTGCAGGTTTACCTTTCACCAGGATACAAGCCCCAGTTAGGGGATAAAGTTCTGCTTGCTGGGCTGAAGTAGCCATTGACAACAGGGCTGCTTCAGTTACTTAAAAAGAATGATAACAGTACATCCAGCAAGATACTTTTCTTCATTAACGGACATGTATGATCCATCAGTAAACTATGAAAATTCTGCATCTGGTATACGGGTTTCTTGTAAATCAGCTCTAGGTTTTAGTAGCTGGTCAGTTAAATTTAGTCAGTTATGAGGTGTCTCGTCATTGAATAAGAGAAGGCAATTTGCTGGATTATGATTATTGAAATGAGAAAGAATAATATGAGAAGTCAACAGCAAGATCTCATAAAAAGTGACTCTGCTTGCAGAAAGATATTGAGTATTATGAGAATTGATTAAAGCTTCTATAACATGAGGAACATAGATTTAGTTAAAGCCACAGTGCCTGATACAGCTCCCATGCAGGAAGGGAGTCCCTTAGCTACTGAATCTAATTGCTGGCTGTAACATCCAAGGGGTGTGTGTGTTAATCTCCATGTTTTCAGTTAAGAACCCCTAATGCACTTTCTTCTCTTTCATTCACTAGAAAGGAGGAAGGGGAGCTGATAAGGGGTGCCCTAAGGCAGGATGACTTAGAAGTCCTTATTTTAATTGAAAGGAGACTCTACAAGCATTCTCTTCCCAGTCCGGAGGCTCCAGCTTGTTAAGTTTCAGAAGGATATATAATGATAGAGCTATTAAGAAAAATTAGATACCCAGTTTCAACAGTACTCTGCCAGGCCCAAAAACCCTTGTGACTGTCTTTTAGTCTGAGGTTGAGGAAAGTTTAAAATGCTTTCGTATTAGTCCATTCTCACATTGCTACAAAGAAATACCTGAGACTGAGTAATTTACAAAGAAAAGAGGCTTAATTGACTCACAGTTCTGTGGGCTGTTCAGGAAGCATAGCGGCATCTGCTTGTCTTCTGGAGAGGCCCCAGGAAACTTACAGTTATGGCTGAAGGCAAAGAGGGAGCAGACATGTCACTTGGGCAGAGCAGGAGGAAGAGGGTGGGGGACAGGAAGGTGCTACACACTTTTTTAAACAACCATATCTTATGAAGACTCACTCACTATCCCGAGGACAGTATCAAGAGGATGGTGCTAAATCAGTCATGAAAAATCCCACCCCCGTTATCCAATCACCTCCCACCAGGCCCTACCACCAACACTGGGGATTACAATTTGACATGAGACTTGGTGGGAACACGGATCCAAACCATACAAGCTTTTAAGTCTATCAGGATCCAAGAGAGGTCCCTAGTTTAGTATCAAGTATCTGAAATATTTGACATTCCTTGGTAAATTGGAATTTTCTCTGGAAACTTTATGGCCTTTGTCTGCTAGAATTTTAAGGATATAAACGCTATCATGTTCACAAGCCTCTTTACAAGGAAAACAAAGGTTATCAACCTACTGAGAGTTGACCCTTGGGGAAAATAAATGTCCGTTAAATCTGTCTTCAGTACCTGTGAAAAGTGAGAGGGGCCTTCAGTACATCCTCGAGGCATTTCTGTCCAGGTATGTTGTTGTCCTTTCCACGTGCAGCAAATAAAAATTGTCTCTCAGTGTCCACCAGAACCAGTGCCTTTAAAAAGCACTACAAATGTCTATCACTGTGAAAAATTTACTTTCTGTGGAGATGAAAGTCAGGAAGGTACATAGATTTGTAACGACAGTGTCGAATAATGATATCGTTATCAATGGCTCTTAGGGCCTGTGCAAATCTCCACCATTGCCAAGAGGTTTCTTTACAGGAAAAACAAAAGTATTACAGGAGCTAGGAAAAAGCGGTACAAGCTTCTCACCGTGTGAAAGAAAATGAAGTAATTAAGGCTAAGGCTTTAAAGTGGAGACAGGAGATTGCAAGGGGATTGCACTCACACCTGCTAAAGGATTACAGAATGTTCCAGCTGACTTGGATAACAACTGAATTCAGTGTCTGCAGCCCTTCAACATCTCTCAGCTGGGAGTATCCTAATTAACCAATCAGAATGGGTTTGTATTTTAGGATTTCTGCCTAGCCAATGAACTGCCTCAAAAATTAACTTTTTGTGGAAGTCACCTAGAAATAAAAGTATAGATCAATGAAACAGAACAGACCCAGACAACAGACCAAAGTATATCTAGGAGCTAAAAATAAGATAAAAGAAGTATTTCAAGTTATTGCAGAAAAGATGTTATTCAAAAGTGGTGTAAGACTAGACTATTCTTTTGGTAAAAAAAAATACTGGATATCTAGCTTATACCACAGCCAAATGTAAATGTGTCCGTGGGAAAAATTGGAAAATGTGTTTTAATGAACTTTAGGTTGGATAGATTTTTCTGCAGATGACACCAAGAACACGATTCAAAATGAAAATGGTGACATATTTGATCCCATACATGTTTTAAATATTTGTATGAGATATTGGAAAGAAACTGTAAGGTAACTAAAAAATACTTGAAATCTATTCAATTCAATCTAGTATTTATATTATATAAAAAGTACTCACAAACAAAAAAATCCAATTTAAAATATATATAAATATTACATATTATATAATATAAATATATAAATATAGGATATATATTTTAATGGGCTGTATACATACATAAATTCATTTAAAATAAAATACATATAGGATAAAGGGCTCAACTTTATTCATGATCAAAATAATGCAAACAAAATAATAGCGATATATTAATTTTTACCTATCAGGTTAGCCAAGATTTAAAATGTAAGCATAAACCCCCCCCCCATTGCTAGCAAGGCTAAGGAGGAAAGGGAAATTTCATACATAGTAGGAGTAAAATGTTTCTGGAGGGAAACCTGGCAACATTTAGAGAAGTTAAAAATATAATTTTCTTTTATAAAAAGAATTGCACTCATAAGAATTTATTTTAAGAAATAAATCATGTAAGTGCAAGGATATTCATTTGCGTATTCTGTATAATAGTGGAAAAAATTGGAAACCACTTACTTGCTCATCCAAAGGAGGATGTGTAAGTAAATCCAGGACCATTCATATCATGAGATACTATCTGTAGTTGCATAGAAAAAATGCCCATGGTCGTCTATTAAATTACAAATAAAAGGATTCAAAACAGTATATATAAGATAATTTAATTTCTATAAGTAAAAATATGTATGCATAAAATTTGCAGGGACTATAAACAAAAAAAGGAAACTGGGAAAGTGTACAACTAGATATTATATCTCTAAGCTGATGGGAGTATGGATATTCTCCTTGTTTTTATTGCTTGTCTGTATTTTCTAGCCTTTTAAAGCATTTATTTCTCTGTTAATTTTCCAAAATAAAAATTTTAAATAGGAAAAAGAACAAAGAAAGAAACTTTTCTTTGCTAGATTTAAAATGTATCCTAACAATAACAAAGTAATAACTAAAACAGTGTAGTGCACTGGCCCAGGAAAATAATAAGCACATAAAGGAAAAGAAATATGATATAAATATTTATAAACACATATAGATGAATATATTTTTAAAATATGTGGATATTTCAATAAATTGTGCAATAAATATAGGGTTTTTTTGGAAAAGTCACAAAGTACCAGAAATGTAGGTGAAATTTATAAACCCTTAAGGGTAGGAAAATTCTTTCTAAGCATGGTATCAAAGGCAGAATCATGAAGGTAAAACAGATTTAATGCACAATTTAAAAGTTCTGTGGCCAGACACAGTGGCTCACTGTGCAATTCCAGTACTTTGGGAGGCCAAGGCGGGAGGATTGCTTGAGCCCAAGAGTTTGAGACCAGCTTGGCAATATAGCAAGACCTATCTCTACAAAAAGTAAATAATTGGCCAGTCAAAAGTCATAGTGGCACACACCTGTAGTCCCAGTTACTCATGAGGCTGTGGTACGAAGATCAGTTGAGCCCAGGAGGTCGAGGCTGCAGTGAGCCCTGATTGCAACATTGCACTCCAGCCTCGGAGACAGAGAGAGATCCTGTCTCAGTAAATAAACAAATAAATAAATAAATAACATGTTCTATGTACTTAAAGTATACCCAAATCAAAAATAAAATGAAAGTTTTGAAAAATATTTGTTAAGAAATGAAAAAGACAAATGCTCATAATATATAGTTTTCACAGAATAAAAATGTAGCTATGATTATATCTCTATTGCCTAGTGTTTTTCACATCCACAGTCCACATCAGAAAACAGCAATCCTGGGTTGATTCTTCTGCCTCAGGTACTATAATTTTCAATATATTGCATATAAAACACACCCTGTATCCCGGCCCCAACTGAGTGGAACAAGCACCAGTGTGTGCTCTGGTTATCCTTTTTCTGACCTGGTAACAATCTTTTCTTGCCCTTCGCTGATCAACTCTGCTCTGTGCCCCAGTGGGCTGCACACACGCATGCGCACACACACACACACACCACACACACTGCACCACCCAGGCTCTTAGATCTCTGCATTCTGGTTGGGTCTAGCCGATTGAAAGCACCAGCGAAAGGTTGGAAGTGTGGGAAGAGAGGTTAGGGGATGTAGTCTCTGGTTTCCTCCCTGCTCCCCCTTGCACTGTGGTTCTGGCAGTGTCTAGTGCCTCTACCATTAGTGCTCTAACCAGGCAACCCCCTGCCACACGTCCGCCACTCAGGTGACACTAATTCCTTATCACCATTTCAAGCCTAGGGTCTTAATGGCTTTATTTTTAGTTAATGTTGTTACTAGTCTCTGAGTGCCTCAACATCCCTCATGATTCCCCTTAATTCTGCCCATACCTTGGTAAACAGCCTCTTCATTAAATTCTCTCCAAAATCTCCACGAGTTCACCTTCATTTCCTATAGTCCCTGCCTGAGAAAGTGGATGAACGCAATGCTATCAAAAATTGGCAAGGAACTGCAACCTCCTCTGAGTTGGCTTAGTAAGATTGTATACCTAATCAGAATGATCCCCATTAAGATGACGCATCTCCCTATTTATATCTCCTTTAGGTGAACTCAGAGGAAGTGGGTCACTGAGTTCCAGCTGTATCTGGATGACCCTAAACTCTTGTAACTCTCTATGATGCCAATGCACTGGAAGCCCTGGGAGTCATAGGGGGCTTGTTGTTATAACCCAGATTTCAACAGGCTTTTCTAACTCCTTGAGACCTAGAAAAGTCTCTGAAATTTTAGCCAACATCAGACTTATGAGACTATAAATATTGGAACAAAACAGGTAAATTATCATTACTTCCTGATGATGCTCATGAAGCCCAAGAAAATCAACTAAAAAGAATACTATGTATAAATAATTTTTCCATAGCTGACTAGTTCCATATTTGTCATAAATTATTTTTTATTCTTGATTTTTCCCTCTTCCTAATGTCCCATTGTAATGGGATCTTTGGGGTGTCACTCTTCTGGCCAGAAACCTCTGTGGCTGGCTGGTGACACCTTTGCCCAAGTTCTTGTCCTATGTCCAGAAAGAATGAGGTATGCAAACAAGTGGAAGTTGAACAAGATGAAGAGGAGCTTTATTGAGTGTTATGACAGCTCAGAGGAGACCCACAGAGGGTAGCTCCTCTCTGTAGGCAGGTAGTCCTGTCAAGTGTTCAGCTCTCAGCAGAGAGGAGGGCCTGGAGAAGGTAGCTCCTCTCTGCAGGCAGGTAGTCCTGTCAAGTGTTCAGCTCTCAGCAGAGAGGAGGGCCTGGAGAAGGTAGCTCCTCTCTGCAACTGGTCATCCTGATATCTGCAGCTCTCAGCAGAGGAGGCCCTGGAGAGGGTGGCTCCTCTCTGCTGGCAGGTCATCCTGTGATCTCTACAGCTCTCAGCAGAGAGGGTAGCTCCTCTCTGCAGCTGGTCATCTCATTATCTCCAACTCTCAGCAGAGACAGTATCTCCTCTCTGCGGCTGATCATCCAGTCCTCTCTCCATCCTCTGCTGGCTCTTGCTGAGCCCGTGGCTTTTATGGACCTCAGAGGGGAGGAAGTGTGTGTTGATTGGTCCATGGCGGCCATGGGTGGCAGGTCCTGGAAAAGGCACCAGAAGCCCCCACTCCAGTTTGCGGGACTGGCGGCCCAGCCCCCAGAATTCAGGCCCTCCCTGGCCTGAAGGTGGGGCCTTACTGGGACTGCCCTCTTCTGCCCAGGAACCTGTTTGCCTCCTGCTGCCATTCATGGTGCCAAAGCTCACCCAGACTTCTCTAAGATCTGAGCAGGTACCAACAGCAGGGGAGAAGCCAGGCAGGCAGTGGGAGCAGGCACTTCTGAGTCTACAAGGGCAGGGGTCCTTCTCAGCCCCCAAGAGTTCAGGGATGCAGGGAAAGGGGGAGGGTCTGGCTCCTGCTCCTGCTCCTGCTGCACGAAGTGGGAGGCCCGGATCTGTAGCCACTGATCCGGTTGTTGCAGCTGCACCTGGGAGGGTGGGGCTCCTGCCTGTTCCATGAAGCAGGAGGCCCAGGTCTACAGCTGCAGTGTGGGTAGCTGCAGGGCACCCTGGGAGCTCCAACCCCAACTCGGAACAGGCAGGGCTCCCGCTTGTCCAAGGATCCCGCCAGCTCCATGGAGCATGCAGCCCTGGCAATGCCTCCCTGCTGCTGCCATCACCATGACCTATCAGTCACTAAGTGAGCAATTCTATGTGATATTTCTTGAAATTCTCCATCTGACTCCATTTTTATTTTGACTGCCCAGACTATCCAGGGTCAACAGCAGTCAAGGCCTCTTTGCCATGGCAGCAACCCATGAGTCAGCCAAGATGAGCAGACAGGCTGCCTGAAGAGCCCACCGGGACAGGGGCTTCTGAGCTCCACTCAGAAGTGGAGCAGGTAAATGATCAAGGTGGCAGCAGGTAAATGATCAAGTGAACTGATTCATGAACATTAAAATGAAGCAGAAAACACTAGATGTGTGTGTGTGTGTGAATGCATGTGGGTGAGTGTGTGCTTAACTTTAGATCCCAATAGGGACACGTGCTTTTCAAATGCTTATGACACACACAAATTGGCCATAGATTCAGCTGCAAAGAAGTTTTTAATAGATTTCCAAAGATAGAAGTCATATAGAGTACAGTGTTTATCGAAATAAATTAAAACTGAAAATGATAACAGAAAATAGAAAAAAAAATTCTAAGCACTTAAAAATGAATACCTCTTATAAATATCTTGAGTTTTTAAATATATTCCTTTTATGGCATAACTAGAAATGGATCACTATCATCAAAGGAATGCATTGTATATCACTATTTGTCCAAAGTGGTAAACTGAAGAAAACTTGTAGCCTTAACACTATTTAATTTAAAATTAGGGTGATTTATAAAATGAAATATTCAATCAAGGGGGCTAGAAAAATACCACTAATCATAATGCAAAAAGTGGTGGAAATGAATTAATACATATAAAAGCATGAATTAAATAAATTACAGAAAACCAGTATACTTGATTTAATGAGGAAATATCTACTTCTTTGCAATAACCAATAATTGGCACATCCTGGATAAGTCTACCAAAGGGAGAAAAGAAAAAGAAAGAGATGTAAGAAAAGAAAGGAAAAAAACATAAAATTAAAATAAGGAAAAGATGTATAACCACAAATTAAAATAATTTGCTAGGTTCAGCTTGATACTATAACCATTTTATAACAAATAATTTGAAAAAGCTAAATGAAGGAATTGTTTTCCCAACTGTTATAGAGTAATACTTCCCAATATTTTTCACACCATAGAATTCTTGGAAAATGATAATGTTGCATGGCACAGTAGTGTGAAAGAAAAATTTTACTTGTGCCTAGAAGCAATAGCCATTAAAATTCTGGCCATCTCAGCACATCTGTTACCCACTTATGGCAGGCTGGTTGGAAGTTGTATTGTAAAAGTCCTAGTCAAGACAATATGCCAAGATTAGGGGGAGACAATGAGGAAGAAAATGCTAAAATGAAGAAACACAATCATCAAAATTATGATTTTTTGCAGATACTATTATGTAATTAAATTGATAGAAGAAAAAATAGGGAAAACCTCAACATAAAATCATAAACAGAAGAGTTAGGAGTGGAACTCTAAGTTCAGAATCAGTGGATACAAGCAACAGGAAGAAGCAATGGAGATAGTCATCAGAATGATTAAATAAGGTATTGCCAATAGTTGACCAATCCCTTTTCCTCTGCTTATGCTGAGCACAAGCTCATTCCCTGTGAAATTAAAGTAGTGAGTGTGGCCCCTAGGAACAGAGACTCAGGGCAATTTTCCAGGTAGGGTGGGCAAACCAAGATGAATGGATTGCGCCAACAATCAAAAAAAATTTTTTTAATTATTGACATACTCACATGGCATGTTCTACTCCTCCAAATGATAAAGGGAAGCTCATCAGAAACCACATACATAGGTAAATACAGAGAAATTATCAGTCCAAAGGTGAGATGGCAATCAAAAACCACCAGGCATTTGAGGAAATTTTACGCCTTAAAAGAGAGAAACCAGACAGGTGCAATGGCTCATGCCTGTAATCACAACACTCTGGGAGGCCAAGGCAGGAGCATCACTTGAGCCCACGAGTTCCAGACCAGCCTGGGAAACATGATGAGACTCTATCTCTACAGCAAAAAAATTTTTAATTAGCCAAGCATGGTGGTATGAGCCTCGGCTACTCAGGAGGCTGAGGCAGGAGGATCTCTTGGCCCAGCAGGTTGAGGCTGCAGTGAACCATGATTGCACCACTGCACTCTAGCCTGGGTGACAGAGTGAGACCCTGTCTCAAAAAAAAAGAAAGAAAGAGAGAAACTTAATTTCATTAACAAGAAATAATACCTAATAAAACAGATCATAAACAAAAAAAGTTAAAATTACTTCAATTAATAGAAACATACATTACTAAGAAGATTATTTAATTATGTACTTTAAATACTTGAAATTGTGATGACTGAAAAATATTTGAAACTTATTAGATAAAAGAATGGGCTGAAAAAGGGAATAGACATGATTGAAGAAGGGACTGATGGACTAGAAAACTAAACTTTGTTTTCACCACCTAAAAGCAGAACAGAAAGAAAAGATTTGGAAAATAAAAAAGTGGACATGCAGAAGATATATTCAGAAACTCAAGCCCTATTTATTTAAATAGAGTTCCAAAAGGAGAAAATAGAATGAGGAGAGAAAACAGTCAAAGATAACTTTAAGAACATTTCACACAGCTTAAGAAACACAAAAGTCTTCAGATTTAAAAGTCCCATTGAGTGACAAGCATGGTGAATGTTACAGAGGCACAAATCCAGATTCCTCCCATGGTAAGTTTCAGAGCACCAAGAATGGAGTGTAATATTACAAACTTTGGGCGCGGGAGGAGAACATAATTTGACTCTAAAGAAATAAAAAGATTAATCCCATGCTTTTCTTTAGCAACAGTTTGTGATAGAATGCAATAGGCTTTCCTCAAAGTTCTAAGAAAAGTTTATTTTGAGCCTAAACTACATCTAGTCAAACTAGCATTGAGATGAAGTACAAAACAAAGCATTTCAAACATGCAAGATTTCAGGAAGTTTATTGCTCTCAGGCTCTCTCTGAAAGAAACCCCATCTCTACTAAAAATTCAAGAAATTAGCCGGGCATGGTGGCAGGTGCCTGTAGTCCCAGCTACTCGGGAGGCTGAGGCAGGAGAATCGCTTTAACCTGGGAGGCAGAGCTTGTAGTGAGCCAAGATCACGCCATTGCACTCCAGCCAGGGCAACAGAGTGAGACTCCGTCTCAAAAAAAAAAAAGAAAGAAAGAAAGAAAAAGAAAAAAGAAAAGAAAAGAAAGAACTATTCCAGGATATAATCCAGCAAAAAAAAAAAAAAAAAAAGGGGGATTTCAAGTCAAAGGGAAATCACACACGCAGACACAAGTGAAGTAAAACTCAAGGAAATCATATAATTAACCTCAAACAATTATTGACGCAGGCTGCAAAAAAATGAGTTTGGAAAGAAATCTCAGCGTCAACAAGAGAGATTATAATACAAGGCAAGAGAGTGGGTTTGGGGGAGAAGGAAATAAAAGTGTACTGAAGTTTTACCTTTTTTTTTTTTTTTTTTTTTTTTTTTTTTTGAGACTGAGTCTCACTTTGTTGTCCAGGCTGGACTGCAGTAGCGTAATCTCAGTTCACTGCAACCCCCGCCTCCCGAGTTCAAGAAATTCTCATGCCTCAGCCTCCGGAGTAGCTGGGACTACAGACGCGAGCCACCACACCCAGCTAATTTTCGTATTTTTAGTAGAGACGGGGTTTCACCATGTTGACCAGGCTGGTTTCGAACTCCTCATCTCAGATGACCCGCCCGCCTTGGCCTTCCAAAGTGTTGGGATTACAGGCGTGAGCCACCAGGCCTGACCTGAAGTTTTAATCTTGTTGAGGGAAAAGGATATAGTGAATAGATGTATTGATTAATTATATAAATCAATCTAAAATATTTAACATTTAACATTCTTAAAATTAAAATTCCTTAATTGTAATTTTAAAATTCTTTGAAATTGTGTTTCTATTTTAATTTGGTTGTACTTTTTTCTTAATTCTTGAGATAATCACTAAGGATAGATACTTTTACCCCTAGAAATACTGTTTCACTCCATAAGAGATTATTTCAGAAGTTATCTTCAGCCCCCATGGCACCCTCTCACTCCCCTTAACCAATCCATCACTAATGGTCATGCCAGTTTCATCCCAATACCTCCCCAGTCTATCTGTCTCTTTTGTAACCACCACAGTTCAGCCCATCATACCTCTTACCTGGACAGCCTCAATAGTCAGCTAACTGGAATCCCCGTATCAATGTCTGTTTCCCATTGCCTACACTGCAACTTCTCAAAGATCTTTTCAAAATGCAAATCTGTTCATGTCTGCTCTTGGCTTAAAACTTTTTGATGTCATTAGATGTATACGAGAGACTTCAATTATAATCAAGTTCATATTATTTAAAAGCATTATCCAATTATAGTATTATATTTAAGTTAGTAGTAGTTACATGGAAATGTATTACATTATCCTCTGTCATCTATATATGAAACATTTCTCACATGAGAAAAACAGCCAAAAAGTTCAAAACAAACAAAAAATCAAAATCAAAATATAGCAAGAGATTTTTCAATTGCATCCTTAATGAAGTATTAAAGTTTTCTATATCCAATCCTTGCACATGGGCCATGCTGATCTTCTCTGTATCCAATTTTAGTACATGTGCTCCCGAAGTGAGCACTATATGTCTAAACTTAACACCTCCTCAGTTATGATATTAATACTTCTCATACTTCTTTGAGTTCTTTGTCTGAGATTTCTTTTTGCTACAGAGGCTTTGTTGTTTCTGCCCATGGCTCTCTCTGCCACCTACTCTCTACAAACTCCCTGGTTAATTCCTATTTAAAATTCAGATTTAAATGTAAATATCACTTTCTTGGAGATGTATTTCTTAACCTGTCCAGCCTAGATCAAGGTAGATAGATCAATAGATAGATGATAGATAGATAGATAGATAGATAGATAGATAGATAGATAGTCTTATTGGTTTGCTTTACATATTCCTCCAAACACTTATTGGCTTGTGATGATGCGCTGATTTATGTAATTATTTTATGTATGTATTTTGCCGTCTACTATAAGCCCCATATGGGCAGGAACAATGTCTGTTTTGGTTCCTTATTTTCAAGTCTAGCATGGAGTGACCCCTTGGTAAGTGTGAGTTGAATGAAGAAGAAAAGGGACATGCTGTGCCTGGGATACGGTCAAAACTTAGAACCTGGAGTTAAAGGGAAAGGTAGTCTATTGCCTCTTCTGCCACTTAGCTTTGGACAATGCATTTGAGCCTTCCCAGCTAGGTTTCTTCATGAGTAAAATGAAGGTAATAGTAGTGCCTCTGCTACAGGGCTGTTAAGAGCATTAAATGAGAAAGCACAAAGAGCTCAGCAGAGTGCCCAGCTCATAGTAGACACTCAAATCATTATTCATTATATTTTCATGCTTCTATATTTTTCTTCTTTTGTTACAAAATTTTCACACTGAAATGTTCTCCCTCTCTGCTCATGCTCTTCCTACTGTGATGTGTTGATCTTTTGTGTCAAACTGAAACTGCTTTCCATTTCAGGTCATCTGCAGAGCATTTGAATGATAGGAGGAGGAGATGATGGCGCTGCCATTTATCTGTCAGATGTGTCACTCTCTGTGAGGGGCTGGCCTCTCACAGACCTGGGGTTCCACGGGCTGCAGGGAACCCACCCGAGGTAGAGACCTCTGGGCTGGGCCCCTTGTTCTTTCCTTTCACTCTGTCGAATCCTTGGCTTTTATTTTTCTTCAGGGAAAACATGACGGTGTTTTTCTTGTAGATTTGTTTTGTTTTATTTTTACTTCAGATTCATGTGCTTATATTGGACAAATCTTAAAGCTTCCACATGTTATCCAGGGAAAAATGTATTGCTTTTTATTGAGTTGAGACTGATCAAGCTATCAAAAATTCACACTTGGCTGAGGCTGTCTTAAGTTTGGTCAACTTCTCTAGGTTCAGCAAGATTTTGTAACTATTACTGAAGTCTGTGGTGGCAAAGGGGCTCCGTGAAGGGAAACATCTGGATTTAAAGTAGACTTTAATTACATCTCACACCCCTGCTCTAGACCAATGTTTAAAACCCCAGGGAGAAGCTTAAAAGTGTGACTCCGTTTGAAACTCAGGAGTCATTTTAACCTAATTGCTCCCTTATAGCTTAAAGCTAACACCTAAGCCTTTAAGAATAAACTCATAGTCCCTGATTCCTGACTGTATTTGCCCTGAGTAAGTGCTCCCACAGGATCTGCACACTATCGCTAATTTCAGTAAATGTTTTCACGGTCTTGGCTGTAGAGTTAATGCCTAACAAGTTCCAGAGGAACCAATTTCCTGCTGGAGGAAACTTCCTTACCAAGTTTCCTAATTATTCCCAGTCATTGCCCTGTAGAATCCAACTGGCCAGGGGAGGCTGTTAATAGGCCACAGGTGACAGCTACAGTTAGGTTACCAAGGAAACAGATCAACCATGCAGAGAGCGATGTTTGACACAAGGAGACCAGGGACCCGTAAATACATGTATTTCCTGCTGCCTCTTGTTTCCTGAGGTGGGGGGAATCAGGACATACATCCTTCCTCTCAAAGTCATTGAGAAATTGACTATAGTGAATTCTCCCAGCCAACATTCTGAAACTTTTTGGTCTCAAGACTCCTTTATACTTCTAAAATTTCTAGAAAACCCCAAAGAGTTTTTGTTTATGAAGATTATAGCAATTCATATTTACTATATTCAATATTAAAACTAAGACATTTAAAAACATTTATTTAACTCATTCAAAAATAATAATAACTCCGTTACATGTTGACAGAAATAACAATTTTGATCAAAGATATTTAAAAGGATGTTATTGTTTTACATTTTTGCAAATCTCTTTAATATCTGGCTTAGAACACAGCTGAATTCTGTTTCTGCATTCAATCTGTTGTGATATAATGCATCATGTAGCTTCTGGAAGACTACTGTACATTCTTGGGCAAATGAGAGATAAAAGGCAAATAATATTTTTAAATTACTATGAAAATAATTTTGATCTCACAGTACTCATAAAAGTGTCTCAGGGTCTCCCAGAGGCCCCAAAACCAACTCTCAGGACAACTATTCTAAACAAAACCGCACTAAAAGATGGTCATTGAATAGCTTTATCTGAATGAAACACAAAGCAAAGCAATAGACCAAGAGACAAGTTTACAATTATGAAAGTGGGAGCATCTGTGCTCTGCTCTTCATATTTCTGCTACTTTCGGCCATCCTGACCTACAAGGACTTCCAGCCTCTTGTCCAGACATCCTTATAATGACATCTGGCCCTAACACCAAAAATAGATTTACTACAATTTTCTTTTGAAACAGTGACTTGAAATTCTATAAACTACCAAGTATCAGCAGTCCATAGAGTTTTTTAGCAAAGGCTACAATGTTAGCAAAAAGCAGGTAATATTTGGCAACAATAATCACAGAGACTGAACAAATTTTCATTCGTAATAAACGCCTGATTTTCCCCACCTTTATAAAGGCCTGTCTGAGAAGCCAAAAGATAGGGGAAACACGAACTTTCTAAAAAGAATTGCCCTTATGTACTTCCCAGAAGTGGTTGTATCTTATGCCCAAATTGCATACGCTGATGGGATGGATTCTTTGGATGCCAAAAGAGTTGCACAAGGACACGTGATGATCTCAGGCAGTGTGTCAGACCTCCAAGAACATCCAGTATTGATTTGAACAACTCTGCCCACAATCTCTGCTTAAGACCTATTATTCCAGGCATACAGTCTACCCAATCTGGCCACCTCTGTAAGGCTGTTTGAGCCTGAGCTACATATTGGAGACAAGATCTTAGTGCACAGTCACTAACGCAATGCCTGGGGCACTTAAGCCCAACATGGGGGTACTTTCAGTTCCTGTTCTTTTATCACATGAGAGACAGTAGAATACACCTACTAGTCAAAAGCACAAACTCTGAAGTCCAAGAAATCTGTGTTCTAGTCCTACCCTGTCACAAAATAATTTTGAATATTTGGACAAATTATTTAGTATCTTTCAGCTCCTTTGTCAAATGGTATTGTTGTGAAGATTAAATGAGTTCATACACGTAAGGGACTTAGTAAGGTATAGAGTATTCAATAAATACTGGCTATTTTTTTAAGGGACGGGGTCTCCCTATGTTGCCCAAGCTGGTCTGGAACTCCTGGGCTCAAGAGATCCTCCTGCCTCAACCTCCAAAAGTGCTGGGATCATAGGCATGAGCCACCATGCCTATAGAGATAAATGTTGGTAAACCATAAGCAAGTTTAATTCCCTGGACTTTCAGCCGTGAGAGTATAGCAATTACACACTGTAGCCATTAGATGGCAGTAAGAATTTAGTCTATCTTTTGGCATAAAGCGCCAACTATTTCCTGGAGTTTTTATTCATCTAGGGCTTGGAGGCTTCACCCTCAAGCTTCTTCTTAGATCCACTTCCTTTGTCCTTGCTACCCTGTCCCCTGGTCTCTTAATTTGAACTGCTTGGTCTCTGGAAGCCCTGTAACATCATGGGTCTCTACTCTTCCCTCTGGTTTGCACATACTACATCCATTTGTGTCTGTCTCTTCCTCAGATACAAACCACATCAGCACAGGGCCTGTGCCACACTGATTCAATCTCTCTCCTCTATTGGATTTTTTTCATGGGACTTCAAACATTCTGCAATCTCTCCAGCTTAAGAAGATCCTCCCTGGATCAGGCAGCCCTCTCTAGGTATTGCTTTCTAACTCTGTCCCCACAATTCAGACCTCCGTTTTGAGCCTGACCTATATACCCCAGCTATCTATTTGACTGATTTCATGCAGGCATCTGACACCTTAGTCATTCAAAACTGGATTTCACCCCCAAAAGCCCTCTCTTCCAGCAATCCATATCTCAACAAATGGAACCCCCATCCACTCTCTCCTCCAACCAGAAAGGTAGGCTTATCCCTGACACCTTTCTCCTACCCTCTCCCCACATATAATCCTTACCAAGTCCTGTCAATTTGATTTCTTAAATATGGGTATAAACTTTCACATTGCTGCCTTTCCACTGCAGAGGTGTCAGGGATAAGCCCACCTTTCTTGTTGGAGCAGAGAGTGGATGGGGGTTCCATTTGTCGAGGTAAGGAACACTGGAAGGGAAGGCTTAGTCCAAGCTAAGCTAAGGTGAAAGTCCTACTCTCAGCTGGGCCACAGCAATTGCCACTGCCTTGTCTATTATCTTCTCAGCAGCCAGAATGATGTTTTAAAATACAAATTTGGCCATGTGACTACTCAGTGTTAAACCTTTCCCTGGCCACCTATTGCTAGTAGGTGAAGTTCAAAGTTCTTATTGTACCTACAAGGCTTTGCACAGTCTGCCTTCAGCTTATCGCTCCACCCTACTCCTCCCTCTCCCTCTCCAGCCCTCTCCCGTTCCTGAAGTGGCATCAAGCTCCTTCATATTCATACCTTCAAACACTTTATTCCTTCCAGATGAACTGCTCCCTCCTCCACAGCTGGGCCTGGCTAACTCCCATCATCCTTTAAGACTCCATTTAAGTGTTACTTTCTCAGGGAGGCCTTCTCTGTCCTCAGCACCACTCCTCTCCCTGCCACCCCTCCAGGTTAGATAAGTTCTTCCTATTATAATCTCAAGGTATTTTGTGTTTTTTCTTTATAACAGTTATCACAATTATAATTATGTTTCGTTATGTATTTATCTAATAATCCTCTCTCTCATTAGACTATCTTGCTTATCTTTGTGTTCCCAGCACCTGGCACAGTGCCTAGTACATAAAAATCATTCAACAAACATTGTTGGTTAAAGATTAAATGGCTTTTTTTCCTCAAACTGGCCATTCTCACTCTCACAGTGTCTTGGCAGAAACTGCTAGAAAGTAACAGCCCAACACACACACACACATACACACACACACACACACACGCACACAGAGAAAGAAAGAGAGACATGCACCAAATATAGTCTCTATACAAATAACACTCATCCTTCACTACTTAATTCAAATGTCACGTCAACAATGCAACCATAAGAAAAAACTAAAAGTAGACATTGGCTTTGGGATGGGAGAAAGGACAGAATCAGCAAGCATCTTGAGGATATTGCTGATGAAAGTTTGAAGAGCTTCAAGGAGACGGTTGATATAGAACTTGCAGACAGTGAGGAAAATGTTATCAGATGCTGGATTAAAGAACACCCAAAAGATGCCTTGGCCAAACAGTTAACAAAATCATCACTGCAGCAATGTAGAAAATAAAAAAATATATCAATAAAATGGCAGATCTGACTAAGGATATTCCCAGGCAGAATATCATAAGAGCTGATTTCTTTTAGCTGCATATAATAAAATACTAGTAGAGAAAAATAAGCTAAAGAACAAACTATTCAGTTTTTTAACAGAATATGGAGAAAATGTAAAGGATCCGGAACTTGCTATATTCAAAATAAATATGTCCGTCATTCCCAGTCTCTTCCAGTGAATGATTTTGAAAGAAAGAAATGGTTTGGGGGCAAAGATCAAATTCAGGGAGTGGTTTGTAAGACCCTTTGTTAAAACCTTAGAAAAACCTTTAACAAAAAAGAACTCCATCCTGCCTGATCAACAGAATACTGTGGAAGTCACATTGCTCCAGTTTCTTGGATCAGACCTTGAGTGACTGGCAGATTCCAGAATACTCAAACACTCACCATGGTATGTGTCATTTTTAAAAGGAGGGGTTGGGAGAGTTTGTGTGTAAATTTTCTGTTGATGATCCCCACTAAAGACTTGCTAGGTCTTCTCAACAGTTCATTACTGTAATGAACAACCAAGTTATTTGCCTTGAGCCTGGTCAGGAGTCTCCTGAAATAGCAAAGTTATGTTAATGAAAACAGTGAAATGATAAAGTCATCTTAATGTAGATGGTAAGTTATATGGGTTTGGTAGTTTGGGTCCCTAGAGTTTTCATTCTATATGAATTGATATTGAAAGAGCTGTCAAAATAAAAGTTGCACTGGGCAAAGTTGAACAGGAAGAGATACTTTATTCAAGACTATTGCAACAAGGGACAGAGATTAAACTCAACTCAGCTGAAACAAAAGCCTGGCGAGAGTTTAACAGCTGGAGTAGAGGGAATCATAAGACAGTGGTGTTCACTAATTGGCTGAACCCAAAGCAAACTTTCTCTGCTTATAACAGGAGGTACTTGTATAACTTGGAGCAAAATGTCTACTGAAGTTAGGCTCCTACCCTCCCATGGAGACTGGAAGATAAGGAGCTATTTCTTTTGATGTTTACATTTAAAACTAGTAAGAGGCTTCTAAGCAGATTTACATACATTTCAAAGGAGGCAGAGAAAAAATTTGCAATTACAAGTTTTCTCCAGTGATTTAAGAAAAGGGAGGTCAGGGACCTAGAGTCAGGAAAAAAAAAAAAAAAAACACCTGTCTTAATTTTACTTAAGCTGAGGGGAATGTTGAAGGCCATCTCAATCAAAGCATTCCTGTTATTTAAATTGAAGGAATTTCTCTATTTCTGCACTGTATTATTTGGGCTACATTGTGCTGTTGTCCTTATTGCACAAGCTTTTGGTGAGTTAGTTTGAATAATGTGTCTATATGTAATTTGAGTTGGGAAATAGGTGGAAACAGCCCAGTGAAGAAATGTCAAGTAATGCCTTCACTTAATTAATTCTGACCTCTTTCAGATGCCCCTTTTCCCAAGAAGATATAAAAGTATAGTAATAGGCATTAGGGCTGGGCATGGTGGCTCATACCTATAATACTAGCACTTTAGGAAGCCAAGGTGGGAGGACTGCTTGAGCCCAGGAGTTCAAGACCAACTTGGGCAACATAGAGAGACTCTGTCTCTACAAAAAATTAAAAAATCAACTGGGTGTGGTGATGCATGCCTGTAGTTCCAGCTATGCAGGAGGAGGATTGCTTGAGCCTGGGAGGTCAAGGCTGCAGTGAGCTGGGATGGTGCCACTGCACTCCAGCCTGGGCAACAGGGTCAGACTCTGTCTCAAAAAAAAAAGAAAAAGAAAATAGATACTGGGAGCATGGCCAGTTGTAACTATGCAAGGGAAAGGACACGCCTGTTAGCTGTTAGCAGTGAGCAAATCAAGGGACTTCAGAAACCCAAAAGGCTCCTTATGTGAAGAAGTTGGCTGCAGAATTTAACCCCAGCCTTCACATGTCACAGGCTAAATTAGTTTGCTATGGCTGTCATAGCAAAATATCACAGACTGGTGGCTTAAACAGAAATTTATTTCTCATAGTTCTGGATGCTAGAAGCCCAAGATTAAAGTATCAATAGATTTTGTTTCTCCTGAGGCCTTTTTCATTGGCTTTGTTGACCTAAAGGAAGAAACTGAGGCAAAGTAAATATAAGCAGAGAGTTTATTTGGGGCCAAGTTTGAGGACTGTAACCCAGAAAACACAGATTCAAGTTGCCTTGTATATGTGTTCTGGCTAACAGCATTCAAATGTGGAGTTTTTTGTTGGTTTGCTTCTTGTTTGTTTTTGTGGAAACGAGGTCTCCCTATGTTACCCAGTCTCATCTCAAACTCTTGGCCTGAAGGGATCCTCCCACTTTGGCCTCCCAAAGTGCTGGGATTACAGGCATGAGCCACCATGCTTGACTATACATGGGTTTTTAAAGGAAAGAAGAAGGGGCAGTTCCTAAGTTGTTTACTAAAAATTTGTGTTAAAATACTATAAGCTACTAATTGACTATACATTGTTCTTTGCATCACAAATTCCAGAAACATGAAGATAATGGGTCGGGGTCACATTGTTCAACTTGTGGTGGCATTATCAATCACTCCTCTGGGGTTATTTCATTGATGAGCATATAACCCTGCCTTAATTTTTTTTCCCTCAAGGTAGAATTTATTAATAAGTTATGGTACATTCATAAAATGGAATACTACAAAGCAATGAAAATTAAACTACAGCTACCTACATCCATATGGATGAATTTCAAAAACAATGCTAAACTAAAAAACAAGCCAAGGAAGAGCATATGCAGAATAAATGCCTTTATATAAAGATTAAAAACAGGCAAAACTAAGCACTCTATTATTTAGGGACATGTTACTAGGTGGTAAAAACAATAAAGAAAACTAAGGGAGTTATTAACATAAGTTCTGGATAGTAATTTCTTCTGGAAATGAATGATTGGCATGCAATCCAGCAAGAATATATCCAGAGATTCTGGGGTATGTAAAGTTCAAACACTTGGTCCATTAGTAGGTACATGAATATTAATTATTGCTCCTTAAGTTATACATACATGTTTTCATATACTTTTTTGTATGTATGCTATATTTTCAAAATAAAAATAAAGACGTGACCTACAGAGTGTAATCGTAGGCACAGGGAAGGGTGGGGGGCTTTGATAGAGATGTTAGGTCAGTGGCAATGAAAATCACACCAATGTATAATCTATGGTCAAGTTATTAATCCACAAAGTATGGATTTAATTAGTTAAACTCCCAAATGACAGTCTTTCCCTTCTTAACAAGTTCTTGGGAGCCACCTTGTTAATCCTCCATTCTGGTTACATTTCATTAGGATAAGCATTTGAGACATCTTTGCTGGCTTTTTACCACATGAGACATTCAAACAAAGTATAGGTTTTTTATTATATTCTTTGGAAATAATTATGACAGACAATAAGTTTCACATACCATTAATAAATTATGTGGTCCTGGGCCAGGTGTGGTGGCTCACGCCTGTAATCCCAGCACTTTGGGAGGCCGAGGCAGGTGGATCATGAGGTCAGGAGATCGAGACCATCCTGGCTAACACGGTGAAACCCTGTCTCTACTGAAAATACAAAAAAATTAGCTGGGCATGGTGGTGGGCACCTGTAGTCCCAGGTACTGGGGAGGCTGAGGCAGGAGAATGGCATGAACCCAGGAGGCAGAGCTTGCAGTGAGCCAAGATTGCACCACTGCACTCCAGCCTGGGCAACAGAGCGAGACTCCATCTCAAAAAAAAAAAAAAAAAAAAAAATGTGGCCCTGAAGAATTTACTTGAGTGACCCCATTTCCTCATCTGCAATTAATAGCAGTGTGGCAAAGACATTTATTGCTATTGATGATAACCTTGCCTTTAAATGATTAATTCCTGACATGGGTGTGAGGGGCATGACTGAAGACTCACTCATGTCTGTCTGGGCCTGATAAACTTTGCATACATCCCATTCTTCAAACTGCTATGAGCTACTTTTCTCGGCTAGCAGATGGCCATCTTCTCACTGTGTCCTTACGTGGCCGTCCTTCAGTCTGTGTAATGTCTGCATTCTAATCTCCTCTTCTTATGAGGATACCAGATTTTTTGGATTAAGGCCAGCCCTAGTGACCTTATTTTATCTTAATTACCACTTTAAAGGTGCTAGCTCTAAATATAGTCACATTCTGAAAGTCAGGACTTCAACATATGAATGTCAGGGGACACAGTTCAGCCCATAATGCAGAACATGACTAAAAGTGAGACTTGACTGTCACTCATGTTTGAAATGCTTGTTCCCTGGTGCCACAAAGAAATAGCACTTGAACATACATTTAATTTTCTCAGCAAGGCCATTTTTATTCTCTACAGAAAGGGTACATTCACCAGCAGTTTTGCCACAAGAGTACACCGAACAAAGGAGACAGGGTTATTTATAACCTGACGCATCCACCCTACTGCTGTGTCTGGTTTCCATTGGCTGGAATGGGACCTCACTGTAACCCACATGGACCTAGGGGGACTGAACAAAGGGGGCAAATGTGGGAATAAAACACAAGAGATGAAAGAGTATATTTGGAAGAAGGGGTCAGAGGGCACCTTGCCTCTAGTGGACAAGGGCCCTGAGCTTTACACAGCCCTCCGTATTTATTAGGCAATAGAGATAGCAAGAAGGAGGGGAGTGGTTGTTGGCTGGCATTTTATTCACAGCAGGCTGGCAAGACTGCATTCTTAGAACAATAGGAGCTAGATCTCTCAATAGATAACTTCAAGGAGCCTGGCACCATGGAGTGAGGCCCTCAGCAAACGTTTTGGTAGCAGGGCAGTGTGAGTTTGGCCACATCCTGCATTCATGATAAACAGTTTGCCGTTTGATCATATAGCCTCCAGCAGAATACTAAGTTGGTCATGTCCCACAGGCTTTCGGCTCCCTGCATATCCCACTTTTTGTTTATGTATTAATTGAAAGAATGTAAGGCCAGACTGGGTAGCTCTCATTCTCTGATTGGTGGTCCATCCAATTTTACAGAAAACATAGCATTAGAACAGTGTTGTGACTCTGGCCGGCATTCTGTCTGTCTTTACACTCAGGCTCAGCTGTCTCATGGTTCGTACCAGAAGGACCGGGCTCATGGTTGGCCACCCTGGGTTCCTCCAGTCTCCCATTCCATGGTCACACATGTCTTGAGGGCACCCACAGGGTTTGTCCATCTGTAAAAACACAAGTATATCCTCTTCCCCACGTCAGTAAATCCACCGAACCTTTACATTGTCCTTCTTCCGGGGATTTCCATAACACTTTTGGATAAACTTTCCTCTTTTCCTTTAACATTTGCCAATGTCTTTCTACTGGAGTCTTACCATCCATACTAGGAGTCAAAAAATTTAAAGTAGAGGCCGGGCGCGGTGGCTCACGCCTGTAATCCCAGCACTTTGGGAGGCCAAGGCGGGCAGATCACAAGGTCAGGAGATCAAGACCATCCTGGCAAACACGGTGAAACCCCATCTCTACTAAAAATACAAAAATATTAGTCAGGCGTGGTGGCGGGCACCTGTAGTCCCAGCTACTCAGGTGGCTGAGACAGGAGAATGGCATGGACCCAGGGGGCAGAGCTTGCAGTGAGCAGAGATCGTGCCACTGCACTCCAGCCTGGATGACAGAGCAAGACCCCATCTAAAAAAAAAAAAAAACTTAAAGTAACTAAGGCTAAAGGTAGTTTCGATTGAGGTGGTAGTTGGCCTCCTATACCCCCTTTTTGTTTTTTCAACATGCATTGTAATGTTTGATGGGCCCATTCTATAATGACTTGTCCTCTAGCATCATAAGGAATTCCTGTTTTATGGGTTATAGCCCAAAGCTGTAAGAAATTTTGAAAAGCATGACTAGTATAAGCGGTTCCATTATCAGTTTTTAATTGTTTAAGTATCCCCATATGAGCAAATGATGACAATGTCGCCATACATGACCAGCTGTCTCACCTGCTTGGCATGTAGCATGCAGCATCTATAGTCACATGAACATAGCTAAGCTTACCAAAGGTAACTATTGTGTAACATCCATTTGCCAAACTTCATTTGGAGCCAAACCTCATGAGTTACAGCCTTCTACAGGTGTGGCTCCAGGGACATGCTGACAAGTAGGACAGGCTTGTATTATAGCCCTAGCTTGGCTGCAAGATAAATGGAACACGCAAGTAAGGGTGGAAGTATTTTGATGCAGAAGCGCATGAGATGCTTGAGCTTGCTGAAACACAGAACAAATCAATTTATATCTACTTTATCATTCCCTAGGGATAATGGTCCTGGAAGTTGTGTATGAGAACAAATATCAGAAATATGAAAAGGATCTGCATGAGAACGAGTAACTCGCTGAAGTCTTTTTTTGTTTTGTTTTGTTTTGTTTTTCACATTAGATGTTGGTAGAAATTTTTATTTTTTTAACTTTTAGGTTCGGTGAACATATGTAGGTTTGTTATATAAATAAATTGCATGTCACAGAAGTTTGGTGTACAGATTATTTTGCCACCCACATAATAAGCATAGAAACTGATAGGTAATTTTTGGATCCTCATCCTCTTCCCTCCCTCTATCCTCAAGCACGCCCCAGTGTCTGCTGTTCCTTTGTGTCCATGTGTACTCAATGTTTGGCTCCCACTTATATGTGTGAACATGATGTCTTAAAAATAAATTAAACAGTTCTGGGTCTAGTGTACTTTTAATTGTAGCAGTTTCTATGTGACTGGTTACATTTACAACATAAGCTGAATCACAGACAATGTTGATAGGATCTGAAGCTGCGAGCTGTAAAACCTGAATGACTGCAATTAGCTCTGAGCCTTGAGCTGAAGCCCCAGATGTCATTATTATTTGAGTATGTTTACGTCCATAGATAGCAGCATGACCTCTGGAAGAGCCATCAGTAAAGTAAGTCTGTCCACCTGCAATAGGCTTGTGATGAGTAATCACAGAAAGAATGAAAGAATGGATTTTATAAAACTGTAAAATTTTGTCTGAGGGGTAGTGATTATCTATAGCACCCATGAAATCTGCAAAAGCAATTTGCCAGGCAGTTGACATTTCCCAAGCTGTGGCTTGTTGCTGGGAGTCTAAAGGAACAATAATTTTGTCAGGGTCATATCCCATAAGCATTTTTGACCTATGCCTGCCCATAGTCACAATTTGTGTAATTAAAGAAAGATAAACTTGCAAGGTTTTGACTGTTTGATTAGGTAGAAAGAGCCATTCTATTACTGTTGCAGACTTGTCTATGAACTGGCCCAATAGTCCTGTTGGAGAGTGGGGGGTAGGAGGAATAAACAAAAGCAAAGGTTTTTGCAGTTGTAGCTGTGAGGCATGTCTCTGCTGTAACATTTTCTCTACAAGCCGTAATTCGGCTTCTGCCTCTTTAGTTAGTTGCCATGGGGAATTTAAAGTAGAATCTCCTTGCAGGGTTTGGTAAAGATGTGTAAGTTGATAGGTAGCAATACCTAACATTGGCTGTAGCCAATTAATATCTCCTAATAATTGTAGAAAATCATTTAAAGTCTGTAACCTGTCTTTACAGAGAACTACTTTCTGAGGCCGTACACTTCTCTCCATAACAATAATTCCTAAGTATTGGTATGGGGAAGTTGTTTGTACCTTTTTCAGAGCTATTTTGAGATTCCATTTAGTCAAAGCTTGCTTCGTTTCTCTGAATAACTGCTGTAGGATTTGATCTATAGGAGGGGCCAAAAGAATATCATCCATAAAATGAATGATGTAAGCAGTAGGAAACATATTCCGAGACTCCTTTAATGCCTGTCCTACAAAATGTTGACATAGCATGACTTGGGGGTAAAACTCTCCATTGATAACAAGAAACAGGTTCTCTTTGGTTAATAGAAGGCACAGAGAAGGCGAATCAAGGCTTATCCTTCTCATGTAAGAATATAGTAAAGAAACAATCCTTAAGATCTATTAATACAAGAGGCCAGACTCTTGGAATAGCCACTGAAGATGGTATACCTTTTTGTAAGGCATCCATCCATTTTATATGTGTATTAATAGCTCTTAAATCTTGTAGCAGTCACCATCTTCTGGACTTTTTTAGAATAACAAACACTGGAGAATTCCAGGAGCTAACTGACTCCTCTATGTGTCCAGCATCCCACTGATCTTTTACTGGCTGTTGAAGTTGTGTCGGCTTCTCCTGAGATAGGGGCCATTGATCCACCCACATGGGTTTGTCACTGAGCCATTCTAATGGTAAGGCAGTGGGCAGAGGAGAAATATCAATGACCTCCATCAGAAATCCTGACGTCCTAGCCCTTAGCTATCTGTTTTTCCAGTTACTGCTATTGGGTTAGGATTTCCCTGAAGAAATTTTCCTAAAGGTTTTCCCTGCTGATATCCCATGTTCTTTAACATTTTAAGTTCTGGGTTATCAAAAGTTTCATTTGTAAGTCTCATATCCCATGCTGTAAGTCTCAACCCCATAATTTGATGGCTATACTTGCAACATGAGGCTGAAAAGTACATGACTGTCCATCCACACCAAGACAAGATAAAATTTCAGCATACTGTTGAACACTTTGAGCTGTTCCTACTCCCATTAGGGACATAGAAGTTAATTGCAAGGGCCAGGATGGGGGGCCAATTGTCTTTACATATTACTGAAACATCAGCTCCCATATCCATAAGCCCATAAAATGTCTGTCCTTTAATTTGTACTACACAGGTGGCTCTATTAGAGGCTATGGGTTGGGATAGATAGATTTCCCAAGTAGTTGTGCTCCCAAACCCTTTATTTCCTCATTTCTCCTTTCATGGAGAAGGGTGTAATTTGCAGGGAATAAGCAATAATTGAGCAATATATTCTCCTGGTTCAAAAACCCAAAGATCTTGTGACATTAAAACTACTTGAATTTCTCCTTCATAATCAGAGCCAGTCACTACAGTAATGCCTTGCAAGTTAAGGCAGCTTTTGGCTAAAATTAGTCTCATATATCCTGCTGGTAAAGGTCCCCAAATGCCAGTGGGAACTTTCATAGGTTTGTCTCCACCAACTAAAGTGATTCTTTCTCTGGCGGGTAGATCTAATCCTGCACTTCCTGGTGTTCCTGGGGTGAGGGGATCAATGTGCCTCTGGGAACTGACCTCTGAAATGGGGTTGAGGTCTGGACTGGGAATGCCCTTATTGTTTGTGGGGCCTGGGTCCAGGCCCCCATCTCGTTTCCCAGCAGGGGGGTGCCATTCTGATGAAATTTTGAGTGGCACTGATTAGCCCAGTGATTTCCTTTCATACAGTGAGGACAGAATCCTGGTGTTTATTCTGCTGGGTGGGGCACTGCATTGTAAGGTCCTTTCTGTCCTGAGATCTGGCAGCATTCCTTTTTAAAATGTCCAGTTTTTCCACATTTATAATATTTTCCCGTTTTGGGGTTTGACCCTTGGCTCCTTTTAGATTTGTCAACTGATAAATTAGCTATTGCTTGTGCTAACATTGCAGAGTGATGAAGCTCAGTTCCTACATCTTGACAAGCTCTGAGAAAATTTCCCAAGTTTTTTGTACACCTCACCAGTGCCAGTGCACATTTACAATCCGTGTTTGCATCCTCAAAAGCTAGTGTTAAGGTTAGCATTTCTGCAGCCGCAGTATGAGAAATCTGACACTTCACTGCCTCTTGTAATCATGCAAGAAATTGCACATAGGGTTCCTGCAACCCTTGTATGATACATAAAAAGGATTGTACTGGGACTCCTTCAGGAATAGTGGCCCAGGTGCATTTAGTGGCCTGTGCACACTGCTGATAAGCAACATCTGGGAGTCCCATTTGAGGTTCCAGGTCTGAATAAGGGCCATTACCTAATAGCATATCCTCTGTAATGTCTCCATTTCCAGCAGCACAGTTCTGTCTAGCCTGGTCTGCACACATTTCTTGCCAATTTAAATTCCATGTCAGATATGCAGTAGCCGACAAGCAAATTCACGCCAAGTGTTTCACATCAAATGGTAAAAGACGCATAGCACCAAACACAGATTCTAGCAATCCTAAGGTGAATGGGTTCTGTACGCCATTGTTTACCACACTCGCTTTTAATTCCTTTAACAAGTTAAAATCTAGTGGAGTGTGTTCATGAATAACCTGCTGTGCATTGTTAGGATTAGGCCTTATGGAAATAGGAAAAGCGTGAGGTCCTAAGGGCTCTCCAGCTATTGCAGCAGAGCATAAAATTCTTTGTATTGGAGTCTCTATTTCTGCCACCAAAGGAGGCGGTACAAATGTTTCTGCAACTGGAGGAGGCAGTATAGGCCAACTTTTATCCTCCCTCTCCTGTTTTTTATTTTCAGTTGGAGCTGTGGGTGGGACAACAGATTCTTTTAGATTTTTAGATTCAGCCTGCTGTCCCGCAGAATAATGAGATAATAGCAGAAGTACAGTACAAACTAAACTCCAAGTGGAGAAAACAGAAGAATCAACTTCAAGACCTTTTTGATGAGCCTGTTTTAATCCTTCTCCTGCTCTATCCCAGTTTTCCACATCAAGAGTGCCTGCCTGTGGAAACCATGAGTTATGCATAATAACTTTGTGTGGCTTCTGCAGGAGGTTAGTGTCTGAGAATTAACCTGAGCTCCAGACTGTCTCAACAGAACTTTAAGCAACTGCACATAATGTTTTTCTTCAACAGACAAGTTATTCCCCCTGCTACCCTGATTCAGAAAGCTTCCCATTCCCAGCACTTCTATAAAGCACTGCTCCCAGTACCTCTTTAGAGCACTGACCTTATATATGCTGCCGGCAGACTCATCCTGGGGTCCCCGTTTGCCTTGTCAATTTCAGCTTCTCTGCTCCAGCAGATCTTTTTTGTTCACATCGTCGAAGTCCCGTGTTCAGACGCCACTTGTTGGCATCCTTGGCGTCCCTGTTCTGAGTCACCACTTGTTGAGAACCCAATTGTGTCACTGTTTGGGGCACCACTATGTAACCTGCATGGACCTAGGGGGACTGAACAAAGGGGGCAAACACGGGAATAAAAGACAAGAGGCAAAAGAGTATATTTGGAAGAAGGGGTCGGAGGGCACCTTGTCTCTAGTGGACAAGGGCCCTGAGCTTTACACTGCCCTCCATATTTATTAGGCAATAGAGATAGTGAGAAGGTGGGGAGTGGTTGTTGGCCAGCAGCTTGATTCGCAGCAGGCTTGCAAGACTGCATTCTTAGGTGCTAGACTTCTCAATAGATAACTTCAAGGAGCCCAGCGCCAGGGAGTGAGGCCCTCAACAAACCTTTTGGTGGCAGGGCAGTGTGAGTTTGCCCACATCCTGCATTCATGATAAACAGTTTGCTGTTTGATCCTATAGCCTCCAGCGAAATGCTGAGTTGGTCACTTCCCAGGGGCCTTCAGCTCCCTGCACCTCACATTCTGTATTTGTCCTGATTAGCCAGCAACTTAGAACTTTTTAAAAGAGGCAAAGGCAGAGGAGAACAAAGGAGGAAGTAACTTGTGGAATGCTGAGAAAGGTAAAAACACCTCCAAATAAGGAAGAGGAACAGACTATGACTTAATACTTGCTTGGACCAGTGTAAGCATGCCAGGGCAAATATTTAGGCTAAATTGTGGGAGCTAAGAACACAAAGTACATTGATTTCTTTATTATAGCTAGCAGATATCTAAGAATGTTAGCACAGGTCTTTGAATAAATTTTGTTTCTGAGAGAAGTTACTATTTATTCCTAATTAGACGGGGAGGAAAGTCTCTTTGAAGAGGAACCTCTATTTTATTTTTACACTCAGAAGCCCGGGCAGCTCTGCCGGGAGTGCAGGGAGGCAGCTCTCCTGGGGGTGCAGGTAGGCAGCTCTGCTGGGGGTGCGGGGAGGCAGCCAGGCTTTTGTTGCACTTCCATCTACTGGCAGCACACACAGAAAGGAAATACTCCCAGTGGCTAGATTCCACCCATCATATCATTGGACTGAGTGAAAACTTTCAGAACTCTAATTTAAAAAATGAATGCATTCATGAATATTACTAACCTAACATCCAGCTGAATAATAATTAAATACATGGGGCTAGCCTGACAGAGGGTGGAAATGCTTTCTTTAACTTTTCTCTTTGAAACATTGCTGATTATTTTATGTTTTGTTTTCCAGAGTCAAGAAAATGTCTCTTTTTAGCTAATTATAGCTTACAGCAACTGGGTAACCTTTTGTGAGCAAAATTAAAACATCTGCATTTCTCCCTACCTGATTTCTCTAAAATTTGGAAACTATTCATGAGTATTTGTATTTTGTGGCAATATAGTTATTTGCATAAGATCAATAAGAATCTGTTTTCTTTTGTAACAGAACACATTGGATACACCGGTTATTTTACCAAGGCTTTGGCTGGAATGTTACATTTTTGAATGTGACCAAACTGCTTTGAGGAATTGAGGCTGACTTTATAAAGCCAATAGACATGGGAAAGACTGGCCTCATGCCTTGCCCACACGGTTCTCTTACAAGGTTCCTCAGCTTGCGGTAAGTAAAGACTGTCATTTTCTGATGCACCCAGGAACCACAAGATATTTTGGGTCATTGAGAAGATAGGAATTCACTCAATTTTTACATATGTTACAAGCAGTCCCACAGTGAATCCCTGGCTTGGCTTACTAGTCTTTAGAGGTTTTAAAAGTGTAATCTGAGATTTCTTATTAAAAATTCTGCAAAGTCAATGGAAAAGAGCCTATATGGCCAATCATTCTTCTTGTTGCACATTTTGCAAATAATCAGGCCAAGTATAATACTAAAACTTATTTAGCCAATAAATTTGTCCTACTAACATTTATATTTGGTAGGAATGGGGAACTGGGGAGAGAAAAAAATTGTTTTAGAAGGAAACTATACCATCCTTCTTATAAGATTCTAGCCCTGACCATTGTTTTTTAGTTGTTTTTTAGTTTTTACTATTTGTCTACAATTTGGACTGAATTCTGAATAATGTCCCAGCTCTAACAATCCTCCAAAGAAGAAATTGGATTTAATTTCCTTCATGATATTTTTAGTTGACTCCCCAGTAGAATAGGTTTTGTTGTTGTTGTTCTGATATACAAATTCTTTTTTTGATTATAATTCCTATATGCATTACATATATCTCTTGTTTTACTTCTTCCACAAAGACTAAACTCATGATATTCTGAAGACTAACAATGATTCAACAAGCAACAGCAACTACATACTTGACTGAGGTGCCATTTTTGCCACCTGTGATGCCATCTCAATTTGGCTTTTGACAGTCTTAAAATTCCTCATTGTAACATTTCCTCACCTCTCCTTCCCATGTGAGACAGCACCATCATGAGCCTTCTCAAACTGAAGGAGGAAGGATATTGATCACTCTAACCTAAGCAGAAATTGATCATTAATGTTTCCATGGAAAGATTTTTGATCAACAGGTGGGAAATGAGAAAAAAAATTGCTCAGAGCCATCTAAGTTATGTGAAGCATACAAAATTTGTCAGGCCCAGAGAGACATGAGTATGGTTATGGGACCTCAATCACACCTCTCACACCCATACCCAGGGCCAACTGTTTAAAGACATTTTGTTCCTGACTAGCTGCTTTGCCCATTATCTTCATGTTCCTGGAGTTTGTGATACAAAGAACAGTGTATAACCAATCAATAGCTTATGTTATTTTAATGTAAATTCTTGGTAAACAACTTGGGAACTGCCTCTTTGTTTCCTTTAAAACCCACTTGTAACTGCTGCTCATAGGGGTGTATATTCAGGTTAACTTGCATCTACGCTCTTGCGTTGCAGTGTTCAAGCTTAGTCCAAATGAACTCTCTACTTACATTGTTTGCCTCGATTTTTTTTCTTCTTTCCGTTGACATATCAATGCAAGGGACCGGAGCAAATATTCCTAGACTGAAACAGATTAAATGCAAGAAAGAGAAGAAAACTTGAAAATATGCATTATCATTGTAGAGAGACTCAATGATTTTTAAAAGAGCATATTCTCAAAAAAAAAGAGATCAATTTTAAAACAATATAGGGGAAATCTTAAAATGGTTTTAAAAATAACTCTGTGGAGAAATGGAGTAACAAAATAGATAACACTGAATACCAAATGATGAGTTAGAAATTCACAGAATGAATTTGATTGAAATTCACGTAAAATTAATGAGAAGTAAAAATTATCATGAAAAAGATAGGAAACATGGAGAATTGATCTGATAGCTCCAATACTCATAGGAGTTTAGATTAAAAAGCAGAAGTGGGGTGGAAGCTATACCCCAAAATAAAAAAGAGCAGAAATAAAAGCAAATCTCATTTTTGCTACACTGGAACTAGAAAACAGTGAAATAATGTTTAGAGTTTCTTTCTTCTTCTTCTTTTTTTTTTTTGACAAAGTCTCCCTCTTGTCCCCTAGGCTGTAGTGCAATGGTGCGATCTCAGCTCACTGCAACCTCTGTGTCCTGGGTTCAAGTGATTCTCCTGCCTTGGCCCCCTGAGTAGCTGGGATTACAGGTGCCTGCCACCACACCCAGCTAATTTTTTTATTTTTAGTAGAGACGGTGTTTCACCATGTTGGCCAGGCTGGTCTAGAACTCCTGAACTCGGGTGATCCACCCACCTCGGCCTCCCAAAGTGCTGGGATTACAGGAGTGAGCCACCGATCCCAGCCTGTTTAGAGTTTCTTAAAGCATAACTATTGAAACCCAGGAATTGTATAGCCAACCAAACCTGTGGCATATAGAAAAATTATTTTAAAATAAAAGCTTTAGGCAAAATAAATTTAATAGAATTTATTTTAGCAAAGAACAATTCATGAATCAAGTATTGGGGGTCAGGAAGTGTTGCCCCAAAGACTGGCACTTTGATATGCTGAGTGGCCTAGAAGCTGCCTCAGAATCAAGGTCCCTCCAACCTTGTCTTACCCCCAGACACACACCTGCATTGCAGGAAGGGGCTGTCTCTGGGATTTTCTTATCTGTCCCGGAAAGCTTCTTTCCAAAAACAATGCAATTGCCTTTCTTCTCCTTCCTGAAATCTCATTACAGATCACAAAAAAAGGAGACAGGAATGCAACCTCACCTGGAAGGACTTTTTCATAAGAAAATAACAATCTCTCAGGTTCATTCAAATTCCAAAAAGAATCATTTACAAGTTAAGTTCTGTCCATTTGCTTCCCCTAATAATCATTTGCTACCCCTCAAAAGAATTGTCTACATTCCCCATCTCCCTCCCCTCCTATGAAAAGGGTATATAAGTTTCTGTGTCCCATTGGGTTATTGGGTAATCATTCTCCTGCAGTTCCCCCAGGCTATACACGTTAAAATAACTTTTGCATGCCTTTTCTCCTATTGATCTGCCTTGTGAGTTGATTTTCAGCAAACCTTCAGAGAGGGCTACTGGTTGCCCATTTTTATGGTTATTTCTTGATTATATGCTAAGCAAGGGATGGATTATTCATGAGTTTTCTGGGAAAGGAGTGGACAATTCCTGGAACTACGGGTTCATCCCCTTTTTAGACCAAATAGTGTAATTTCCTGACATTGCCATGACGTTTGTAAACTTTCATGGCACTAGTGGGAGTGTCTTTCAGCATGCTAATGAATTATAATTAGCATATAATGAGCTGTGAGGATGCCCAGAAGTCACACTCCTTGCCATCTTGGTTTTGGTGAGTTTTGACCAGCTTCTTTACTGTAACCTATTTTATCTGCCAGGTCTTTATGACCTGTATCTCCTGCCAACCTCTTATCTCATGCTGTGACTAAGAATGCCTTAACCTCCTGGGAATGCAGCTCAGTAAGTTCCATCCTTATTTTACCCAACCTCTATACAAGATGGAGTCACTCTGGTTTAAATGCCTCTGACAACTCCATTTTGGTTTGATCTATTAGGGCACAATGCAGGAGCTCAGTCTAAATCAATAGCCTCCTGTAAATTTTATTTAACAAAGGCAAATGGAAAACTGTTTTAGACATGCAAGGATGCAGAATGTATAACAATTATACAACATTTGAAAAAAATAACTGTTGGAGAAACTGAAACCAAATAAAAGTTCTTCTGAAAAAAACAGCTGAAGAAAAGGGAACATGTAGGATACAAAAGTGATAAGCCATTTTTAAATCAGAAAATCTTATAGTTCAATTTTAAAATAATTTGTCATGTATAACAACATATAATGTAATAATAAATGAAAGGCTATGAAAAGAGGTATAATAGAAAAAATAACAACAGTATTATACTAAAATATCTGATTATTTTCACAAACCTGGGAATGATAGCTGGGGAAAACAAGAAAATGCTTGCTTAAAGCCTTACCAATTAAAGGAATTACATAAAGGTTCTGCTCTCCAACCCAGACAAACCACAAAATAGCAAATGTTGAAACTCAACATCTGTTAAGTGATTATCATATGCCAGGCATAGCTCTAAGTACTTTACATTTATTATTAAATAACTCCTTTAATAAGTCTCAAATATTTAAACTATCCTGTAGGACAGGGCTACTGCAAGTGTAATTCTGGATCAGCAAGGACTAAGAGCTTGTTAGAAATGCAAGTTTTTGGGCCCCACCCCAGACCAACTGAATCCAAATCTCTGGGGAGGTGTCCATGAATCTGTTTTAATCAGCTCTCCAGGTGATGCTTTTGCACCCTAAAATTTGAGAAGCACACATCTCCTCAGTTAACGTGCTAGGATGAACTGGTATATTTCAAATGCATTAAAAGTTTACCAGGAAATAATGATCTTCTTAGACTTCTGAGAGCCCAGGCAACACCTGAAGCAACCAGAGTCCCAGAACATTGTCACTGTCCTCTCTGTGGGCTTCTCAGAAACTGGCTGAAACAGACGTGTGTCTGATGGGACCCTCTGTTCCCCACAGACAGTGAGCACTGTAAGTGATGTCTGGCATCACCACTCTGCCGGAAGCCACTGAGTGAAGGCTAGGAGATGCTTTAAACAATGTGCTGCTGCCTTGGTGGCTAAGAGGTTCCAGGTGCCCAGAGGAGTGCAGCATACACGCAATAATGTAGCTCATTCAGAGAATCAGAGTGGGCAGTTATCAGTTAGGGGCCTCTTGTGGGCACAGCTCTAGAAGGTGGCCCCAAATCTCTGCCTTTACATAGTCTTATGCTCATTTCCGTCTTAACTACCTGGTAGCAACTGTTCTTGCTTTGCATGTGCGTGCTGCAGAATAGCACTTCCTTATGATGAAAGAAAAACTTAAGTACATTTCAATTTTAGAGAGTTTATCGGAGCATTCAGAGATTCAAGAATTGGGGCAGCACCAGACCACAAGGGGCTATCACTCCATCAAGAAAGGCAAGAGGGGAAACTTTCATGCGCGTCCGTGTGAAGAGACCACCAAACAGGGTTTGTGTGAGCAACATGGCTGTTTATTTCACCTGGGTGCAGGCGGGCTGAGTCCGAAAAGAGAGTCAACAAAGGGAGATAAGGGTGGGGCCGTTTTATAGGATTTGGGTAGGTAAAGGAAAATTACAGTCAAAGGGGGTTTGTTCTCTGGCGGGCAGGAGTGGGGGTCGAAAGGTGCTCAGTGGGGGTGCTTTTTGAGCCAGGATGAGCCAGGAAAAGGACTTTCACAAAGTAATGTCATCACTTAAGGCAAGGACTGGCCATTTACCCTTCTTTTGTGGTGGGATGTCATCAGTTAAGGTGGGGCAGGGCATATTCACTTCTTTTGTGATTCTTCAGTTACTTCAGGCCATCTGGGCATATACGTGCAAGTCACAGGGGATGCGATGGCTTGGCTTGGGCTCAGAGGCTTGACATTCCTGCCTTCTTATATTAATAAGAAAAATAAAATAGTGTTGAAGTGCTGGGGCGGTGAAAATTTTTTGGGGGGTGGTATGGAGAGAGAGTGGGCGATGTTTCTCAGGGCTGCTTCAAGCGGGATTGGGGCGGCGTGGGAACCTAGAGTGGGAGAGATTAAGCTGAAGGGAGGTCTTGTGGTAAGGGGTGATATTGCGGGGATGTTAGAAGAAACATTTGTCGTATAGAATGATTGGTGATGGCCTGGATACAGTTTTGTATGAATTGAAAAACTAAATGGAATAACAGAAGGAGAAAAACAGGTATAAAAGGTCTAAGAATTGGGACGACTCAGGATAGCTGACTAGAGAGTGCCTAAGGAGATTCAGCATAGTCCTGCCAGCAAAGATTATTTATTTACTTCAAGAGTTAAGAGTGGCAGTTTGGGGATAGCACCAGGAGATATCAGCTGTGATGGCTTGGAAAAACAGTGTAAACCGGCAGTGTAAACAAGAGCAGGACATGTATGAGTAGTTGAGAATGGTGAATAGGAGTATGACTAGACAGAAGATAGTAGGGATGACAAGTTTTTTTGGGGGCACAGTCTAAGTTGGTCTGGTGTCTGGAATGAGACTGGGGCCTAACAAAAAGGAGAGTCTATACAGGAGCTTAAATGGGCTGTACCCTGTAGCATTCCGAGGACAGGCCTGAATTCTGAGAAGGAAAAGTGGTAAAAGTATTGTTCAGTCCTTTTTAAGTTGGTGGCTGAGCTTGGTGAGGTGTGTTTTTAAAAGACCTTTAGTCCATTCTACTTTTCTTGAAGATGGAGGACTGTAAGGGATATAAAGGTTTCACTGAATACTAAGAGCCTGAAAAACTGCTTGGCTGATTTGACTAATAAAGGCTCATCTGTTATCAGACTGTATTGAGGTGGGAAGGCTAAACTGAGGAATTATGTCTGACAGAAGGGAAGAAATGACTGCGGTGGCCTTCTCAGACCCTGTAGGAAAGGCCTTTACTTATTCAGTGAAAGTGTCTATTTAGACTAAGAGGTATTTTAGTTTCCAGACTCGGGCATGTTGAGTAAAGCTAATTTGCCAGTCCTGGGTGGGGGCAAATCCTTGAACTTGATGTGTAGGGAAGGGAGGGGGCCTGAATAATCCCTGAGGAGTAGCAGAATAGCAGATGGAACACTGAGAAGTTATTTCCTTGAGGATAGATTTCCATGATGGAAAGGAAATGAGAGGTTCTAAGCGGCAGGCTAGTGGCTTGTACTATAGCATAACCTGCCTTTGCTGGTGTGCAGCGATTAGGCTCGGTGGAACCATCATCAATAAATCAAGCGTGATCAGGGTGAGGAACAGGAAAGAAGGAAATCTGGGGAAATGGGGTGAATGTCAGGTGGATCAGAGAGATACAGTCATGGGGGTCAGGTGTGGTATCAGGAATAATGTGGGAGGCTGGATTGAAGTCTGGGCCAGGAACAACGGTAATTGTGGGAGACTCAACAAAGAGTGAGTACAGCTGAAGGAGCCGGGAAGCAGAAAGTATATGCATCAGGTATGAGGAAGAAAATAGATTTTTGAAGTTATGAGAACTGTAGAGAGTGAGTTGAGCATAGTTTGTGATTTTGAGGGCCTCTAAAAGTATTAAAGCAGCGGCAGCCGCTGCACGCAGACATGAGGGCTAGGCTAAAACAGTAAGGTCAAGTTGGACAGAAAGGCTACAGGGTATGGTCCTGGCTCTTGTGTAAGAATTCTGACCGCACTAACCATGCCTACGAAGGAAAGAAGTTGTTGTTTTGTAGAAGGAGCTTGGATTTGAGAGATCAGTCGGACACGATTGGCAGGGACAGCACGTGTGTTTTTATGAGAATTATGCCGAGATAGGTAACAGATGAGGAAGAAATTTGGGCTTGATTGAAGCAATGGGGGCTGTCTGTGAAGCTTTGCTGCAGTACAGCCTAGGTAATTTGCTGAGCTTGATGAGTGTCGGGGTCAGTCCAAGTGAAAGCGAAGAGAGGCTGGGATGAAGGGTGAAAAGGAATAGTAAAGAAAGCATGTTTGAGATCCAGAACAGAATAATGGGTTGTAGAGGCAGGTATTGAGGATAGGAGAGTATATGGGTTTGGCACCACAGGGTGGATAGGCAAAACAATTTGGTTGATAAGGCGCAGATCCTGAACTAACTTCTAAGGCGTGTCTGGTTTTAGGACAGGTAAAATGGGGGAATTGTAAGGAGAGTTTATAGGCTTTAAAAGGCCATGCTGTAGCAGGCGAGTGATAACAGGCTTCAATCTTTTTAAAGCATGCTGTGGGATGGGATATTGGTGTTGAGTGGGGTAAGGGTGATTAGGTTTCAATGAGATGGTAAGGGGTGCATGATCGGTCACCAAGGAGGGAGTAGAGGTATCTTATACTTGTGGGTTAAGGTAGGGGGATACAAGAGGAGGACGCAAAGAGGCTTTGGATTGGGAAGAAGGGTGGCAATGAGATATAGCTGTAGTCCAGGAATAGTCAGGGAAGCAGATAATTTAGTTAAAGTGTCTCAGCCTAATAAGGGAACTGGGCAGGTGGGGATAACTAAAAAGGAGTGCTTAAAAGAGTATTGTCTAAGCTGGCACCAGAGTTGGGGAGTTTTAAGAGGTTTAGAAGCCTGGCCGTCAACACTCACAACAGTTATGGAGGCAAGGGAAACAGGCCCTTGAAAAGAAGGTAATGTGGAGTGGGTAGCCTCCGTACTGATTAAGAAGGGGATGGGCTTATCTTCCACTGTGAGAGTTACCTGAAGCTCAGCGTCCGTGATGGTCTGGGGGCTTCTGAGGTGATCAGGCAGTGTCAGTCTTCAGCCGCTAAGCCGAGAAGATCTGGGAAGGAGTCAGTCAGAGAGCCTTGGGCGAGAGTTCCAGGGCTCTGGGAGTGGCTGCCAGGTGAGTTGAACAGTCCATTTTCAGTGGGGTCCCACACAGATGGGACGCAGCTTAGGAGGAATCTCAGGCTGCGGGCATTCCCTGGCCCAGTGGCCAGATTTCTGGCACGTGTAGCAAGCTCCTGTGGGAGGAGGTTCTGGAGGAATGCCTGGCCACTGCGGTTCAGGTGTTTGGAAGTTCTTGTGTGCTGGAGATGTGGCTGGGGTTTGTCTCACAGTGGAGGCAAGGAGTTGCAACTTTTTTCTGTTATTGTACACCTTGAAGGTGAGGTTAATTAAATCCTGTTGTGGGGTTTGAGGGCCGGAATTTAATTTTTGGAGTTTTATTTAATGTCGGGAGCAGATTGGGTAATAAAATGTGTTTTGAGAATAAGACGGCCTTTTGACCTTTTAGGGTCTAGGGCTGTAAAGTGTCTCAGGGTTGCTGCCAAACAAGTCATGAACTGGGCTGGATTTTTATATTTGATGAAAAAGAGCCTAAACGCTATCTGGTTTGGGATAAAGAAAAAGGAGCATTAACCTTGACTGTGCCTTTAGCTCTAGCCACCTTTTTAAGAGTAAATTGCTGGGCAGGAGGGGGAGGGCTAGTCATGGAACGAAACTGTAAGCCGGACCAGGTGTGAGAAGGGGCAATGATAAAAAGATTCTAGGGTGGAGGAGCAGAGGCTGAGGAAGAATAGGGACCTAGCTCGGCCTGGCGAGGAGCAGCCTGGGGAGGAAGGGAGAGGTCAGATGGGTCTGTAGAAAAGGAAGATTAGAAAGACTCAGAGACACTTGGGGTTGGTACTGAGGGGACAGGCAGGAGGGAAAGAAGGAAGATTTGGGATGAGTTGCACTGGGCACAGAGACTAGGAAGGCCCTGTTGTGTAAAAGAATGCCTGGATGTCAGGCACCTCAGACCGTTTGCCTATTTTATGACAAGAATTATTTAGATCTTGTAGGATGGAAAAATTCAAAGTGCCATTTTCTGGCTATTTGGAACTACTGTCGAGTTTGTATTGGGGTCAGGCGGCATTGCAGAAGAAAATAAGGCATTTAGGTTTTAGGTCAGGTGTGAGTTGAAGAGGTTATAAGTTTTTGAGAACACAGGCCAAGGGAGTAGAAGGAGGAATGGAGGGTGGAAGGTTGCCCATAGTGAAGGAAGCAAGCCTAGAGAAAAGAGAGAGTAGAGAAACGGAGGGAAGGGGTTTGGGGGTTCTTACCTTCCAAAAAAGTGGGAAAAGGGGTTGGGGCACAGAGATAAGAGGTCGGAGCATGGAAATAAGGGATTGGGGTGCAGAAATGAGGGATTGGGGCACAGAGATATGAGGTTGGGGCACGGAAATAAGGGATTGGGGCACAGAGATATGAGGTTGGGGTGTGGAAATAAGGGATTGGGGCACAGAGATAAGAGGTTGGGGTGTGGAAATAAGGGATTGAGGGTTCTTGCCCCATAGAAAAGTGGGACTTGCCACTAAGGGTGAAGGAGAAGGGGTTGAGGGGTACTTGCCCCTGCCCCAGAAAAGCGGGACTTGCCGCTAAGGGTGAAGGACCAAGGCAGGCATCCCTGCGTGGTCTGACACCCTTGAAACGTGAGTGTATAATCAGAGAGGCATCCCTGCAATCATTAAACACCAAGGGAAGGCTGCCTTCCCAGTCCGTGACTGGCCCCGGAGTTTTGGGTCCCCGGATAAAATGTGTCTCCTTTGTCTCTCCCAGAAAATGAAAGGAATTGAAATTAAGAGAAGGGAGAGATTGAAGAGTGGAAAGGAGAAAGTGGTTGAGGGACAGTGAGAGAGGTTGGAGAAGAGAGTAAGAAGAGGCCGCTTACCTGATTTGAAATTGGTGAGATGTTTCTTGGGCTGGTCGGTCTGAGGACCTGAGGTCCTAGGTGGATCTTTCTCATGGAGCAAAGAACAGGAGGACTGGGGATTGATCTCCCAAGGGAGGTCCCCCGATCCGAGTCACGGCACCAAATTTCATGTGCGTCTGTGTGAAGAGACCACCAAACAGGGTTTGTGTGAGCAACATGGCTGTTTATTTCACCTGGGTGCAGGCGGCTGAGTCCGAAAAGAGAGTCAACAAAGGGAGATAAGGGTGGGGCTGTTTTATAGGATTTGGGTAGGTAAAGGAAAATTACAGTCAAAGGGGGTTTGTTCTCTGGTGGGCAGGAGTGGGGGTCGAAAGTTGCTCAGTGGGGGTGCTTTTTGAGCCAGGAAAAGGACTTTCACAAGGTAATGTCATCACTTAAGGCAAGGACCGGCCATTTACCCTTCTTTTGTGGTGGAATGTCATCAGTTAAGGTGGGGCAGGGCATATTCACTTCTTTTGTGATTCTTCAGTTACTTCAGGCCATCTGTGCATATACGTGCAAGTCACAGGGGATGCGATGGCTTGGCTTGGGCTCAGAGGCCTGACAGAAACTTTATAAAGTTTTTGCAGAAGCAAGACAAAGAAAATAATTTTGATGGGTTAGAAATTAGTTGGTGGTTTCTGATTGGTGCTGTTTCTAGTTTCGATTTACTGATTACACTGGACTCTGGTTGGTTCACATAGGAATTTAGAGTGCCAAAGCCACCTTGGTCTAATGGCCTCCCAATTAGATTCTTTTAACAATTATCATTTTGAAATATTCAACATGAAAAACATTGAAATAGTTATGAAATCCATGCTCATTATCACAATAAATTGTAACATTACACTTGTCAATGAAAAAAAAAGAAACTGTTAGATTTTTAAGTTTCATAAACCAAAAATAAAATTCTAAGGCCCCCAACCTACTGATGGACTCCCCTCTCGGCCACTGGCATTCCAAAGTAAACCTGAAAAACTAGTTCAGACCATGACCGGAAGAGGTAGGTTAGACATGTGTCATTATAACTTCCTCCCTTTGGAATTCAGATGCAATTGACCAGCACTACCATTAAAACAGAGATCTTAACACAGAAACAGACCCTTTGTAACAGTAAGATACCAAATTCAAACCTGATTCTAGTATGGTGATTCATGACAGATAGTAGGTCCTGAAAGAAATTGAAATTATTTTCCCCAAAATATATTTCTTTGACATGTTCTTAAATGGCATGGCCCTGCAAAGCTGTCTCTTGTGTGGAAAATCCACATTCTGTAGAGAATCGTCTTCCCTTTCCATGTCTTTTCCCTGATCCAGGAGAGAATTAATTAAAAGTATGGAACCTTTTTAGGTCTGATAAGAGCTTTGAAGCCTGGTACCTGGGGTCTCCATCTGCATAATAAAAATCTTGGTGTCCACAACTTCTTATCTTAACCCAAACACTCCTTTCTATTGATTCCAGGCTTTAGATAATAACTCTTCCAATCAATTGCTAATCAGAAAATCTTTGAATCTACCTGTGACCTGAAAGCTCCCACTTCAAGTTATCCCATGTTTCTGCAGAGAAACACTGTACACCTCCTTATACATATTGATTGATGTTTGCCTGTAACTTTAATGTATAAAATCAAGCCATAAACCAACTACCTTGGGCACATGTTCTCAGGACCTTCTGGGGCTGTGTTATAGGTCATGGTCATCACATTTGGCTCACAATAAATCTCTGCAAATATTTTACAGTTTGACTCTTTTCGTCAACAATTTTTATCAACTACCTTGTCAGAATGGTTTGTTTTGTTTTGTTTCAGAGACAGGGTCTCTCTCACTCTGTCACCCAAGCTGGAGTACAGGGGCATGATCACAGCTCACCCACTACCTTGGCCTCCCAGGCTCAAGTGATCCTCCTGCCTCAGCCTCACAAGTAGCTGGGACCACAGGCACATGCCACCATGCCTGGCTAGTTTTTTATTTTTATTTTTGTAGAAACGGGGTCTCCCTATGTTGCCCAGGCTGGTCTCATACTCCTTGGCTTAAGTGACCCTTCCAGCCCAGCCTCCCAAAGTGCTGGGATTACAGGCATGAGCCACCATGCCTGGCCATTTTTATATTCATGACAACTATCAAAACTGTAAAGGAAACATCCCTAAGATGTCTTGATCAGAAATTGCATGTTGCAGTTTCAAGCATAGAAACTGATATTAGAAAACTTTACTTGCGGAAACAACCTCAAATTCCTTCTCCTAATTTCTGAAAACACTTTATTAGAAGTATACAAATTTAATATTTAATGTCTTATCTAATACTTTGTTAATCTTATAATTATGGCATATAAAATAAAATACTTTTTTCATCATAAAGATGTCCCCAAATGTCTTCTTGTTTTCTTATCTCTGTGTGCCATAAATTGAACAGTTTTGAATATTGTTTATCCTTTTGATTGCACTGAAGTCTGGTGTTTGGAAAAATAGTTCTTTTACTTACTTCTGTATTTATGTAAAATTTTAAAATAAGCATGTATTACTTTTGTGATTAAAACTTATCATAAATATTTAAAGTAAATTAAAATAAATAGTAAAGTAATATAGCATAATATAATTAGCAATATTTTCTTTAAAAATAAATAATATTTCTAGCTTTCTTTTGATTAGTGAAAAATGAAAAAATGCAAATTTAAAAAAAGAAAAAGTAAATAATACTAGATCACAGGTCACAAAACAGACACTCTGGAATGCTATAGTATAGTAGGTCAAACAATACAACCTTCCTTATTGGCAATTTGACAATATGCATCAAACATCTAAACAATGTTCAAAACCTTCAACCCAACAATCCTTTTTCCAAAATCTAGTCTAAAGGAATTAATTTTAAACAGTTAAATAATTTCACTGGAGAAAAAATTTTTTTTTAAGATTCTTTTTTTTTTCTTTTTTTTCTTTATTATACTTTAAGTTTTAGGGTACATGTGCACATTGTGCAGGTTAGTTACATATGTATATATGTGCCATGTTGGTGCACTGCACCCACTAACTCGTCATCTAGCATTATGTATATCTCCCAATGCTATCCTTCCCCCCTCCCCCCACCCCACAACAGTCCCCAGAGTGTGATGTTCCCCTTCCTGTGTCCATGTGATCTCATTGTTCAATTCCCACCTATGAGTGAGAATATGCAGTGTTTGGTTTTTTGTTCTTGCGATAGTTTACTGAGAGTGATGATTTCCAATTTCATCCATGTCCCTACAAAGGACATGAACTCATCATTTTTTATGGCTGCATAGTATTCCATGGTGTATATGTGCCACATTTTCTTAATCCAGTCTATCATTGTTGGACATTTGGGTTGGTTCCAAGTCTTTGCTATTGTGAATAATGCCGCAATAAACATACATGTGCATGTGTCTTTATAGCAGCATGATTTATAGTCCTTTCGGTATATACCCAGTAATGGGATGGCTGGGTCAAATGGTATTTCTAGTTCTAGATCCCTGAGGAATCACCACACTGACTTCCACAATGGTTGAACTAGTTTACAGTCCCACCAACAGTGTAAAAGTGTTCCTATTTCTCCACATCCTCTCCAGCACCTGTTGTTTCCTGACTTTTTAATGATTGCCATTCTAACTGGTGTGAGATGGTATCTCATTGTGGTTTTGATTTCCATTTCTCTGATGGCCAGTGATGATGAGCATTTTTTCATGTGCTTTTTGGCTGCATAAATGTCTTCTTTTGAGAAGTGTCTGTTCATGTCCTTCACCCACTTTTTGATGGGGTTGTTTGTTTTTTTCTTGTAAATTTGTTTGAGTTCATTGTAGATTCTGGATATTAGCTCTTTGTCAGATGAGTAGGTTGCAAAAATTTTCTCCCGTTTTGTAGGTTGCCTATTCACTCTGATGGTAGTTTCTTTTGCTGTGCAGAAGCTCTTTAGTTTAATTAGACCCCATTTGTCAATTTTGTCTTTTGTTGCCATTGCTTTTGGTGTTTTAGACATGAAGTCCTTGCCCATGCCTATGTCCTGAATGGTATTGCCTAGGTTTTCTTCTAGGGTTTTTATGGTTTTAGGCCTAACATTTAAGTCTTTAATCCATCTTGAATTGATTTTTGTATAAGGTGTAAGGAAGGGATCCAGTTTCAGCTTTTTACATATGGCTAGCCAGTTTTCCCAGCACCATTTATTAAATAGGGAATCCTTTCCCCATTGCTTGTTTTTCTCAGGTTTGTCAAAGATCAGATAGTTGTAGATATGCGGTGTTATTTCCGAGGGCTCTGTTCTGATCTATATCTCTGTTTTGGTACCAGTACCATGCTGTTTTGGTTACTGTAGCCTTGTAGTATAGTTTGAAGTCAGGTAGCGTGATGCCTCCAGCTTTGTTCTTTTGGCTTAGGATTGACTTGGCAAAGTGGGCTCTTTTTTGGTTCCATATGAACTTTAAGGTAGTTTTTTCCAATTCTGTGAAGAAAGTCATTGGTAGCTTGATGGGGATGGCATTGAATCTATAAATTACCTTGGGCAGTAAGGCCATTTTCACGATATTGATTCTTCCTACCCATGAGCATGGAATGTTCTTCCATTTGTTTGTATCCTCTTTTATTTCCTTGAGCAGTGGTTTGTAGTTCTCATTGAAGAGGTCCTTCACATCCCTTGTAAGTTGGATTCCTAGGTATTTTATTCTCTTTGAAGCAATTGTGAATGGGAGTTCACTCATGATTTGCTTCTCTGTTTGTCTGTTGTTGGTGTATAAGAATGCTTGTGATTTTTGTACATTGATTTTTGTATCCTGAAACTTTGCTGAAGTTGCTTATCAGCTTAAGGAGATTTTGGGCTGAGACAATGGGGTTTTTCAGATATACAATCATGTCGTCTGCAAAGAGGGACAGTTTGACTTCCTCCTTTCCTAATTGAATACCCTTTATTTCCTTCTCCTGCCTAATTGCCCTGGCTAGAACTTCCAACACTATGTTGAATAGGAATGGTGAGAGAGGGCATCCCTGTCTTGTGCCAGTTTTCAAAGGGAATGCTTCCAGTTTTTGCCCATTCAGTATGATATTGGCTGTGGGTTTGTCATAGATAGCTCTTATTATTTTGAGATATGTCCCATCAATACCTAATTTATTGAGAGTTTTTAGCATGAAGGGTGGTTGAATTTTGTCAAAGGCCTTTTCTGCATCTATTGAGATAATTATGTGGTTTTTGTCTTTGGGTCTGTTTATATGCTGGATTACATTTATTGATTTGTGTATATTGAACCAGCCTTGCATCCCAGGGATGAAGCCCACTTGATCATGGTGGATAAGCTTTTTGATGTGCTGCTGGATTCATTTTGCCAGTATTTTATTGAGGATTTTTGCATCAATGTTCATCAAGGATATTGGTCTAAAATTCTCTTTTTTGGTTGTATCTCTGCCTGGCTTTGGTATCAGAATGATGCTGGCCTCATAAAATGAGTTAGGGAGAATTCCCCCTTTTTCTATTGATTGGAATAGTTCCAGAAGGAATGGTACCAGTTCCTCCTTGTACCTCTGGGAGAATTTGGCTGTGAATCCATCTGGTCCTGGACTCTTTTTGATTGGTAAGCTATTGATTATTGCCACAATTTCAGCTCCTGTTATTGGTCTATTCAGAGATTCAACTTCTTCCTGGTTTAGTCTTGGGAGAATGTATGTGTTGAGGAATTTATCCATTTCTTCTAGATTTTCTAGTTTTTTTGCATAGAGGTGTTTGTAGTATTCTCTGATGGTAGTTTGTATTTCTGTGGGATCAGTGGTCATATCCCCTTTATCATTTTTTATTGTGTCTATTTGATTCTTCTCTCTTTTTTTCTTTATTAGTCTTGCTAGCGGTCTATCAATTTTGTTGATCCTTTCAAAAAACCAGCTCTTGGATTCATTAATTTTTTGAAGGGTTTTTTGTGTCTCTATTTCCTTCAGTTCTGCTCTGATTTTAGTTATTTCTTGCCTTCTGCTAGCTTTTGAATGTGTTTGCTCTTGCTTTTCTAGTTCTTTTAATTGTGATGTTAGGGTGTCAATTTTGGATCTTTCCTGCTTTCTCTTGTGGGCATTTAGTGCTATAAATTTCCCTCTACACACTGCTTTGAATGTGTCCCAGAGATCCTGGTATGTTGTGTCTTTGTTCTCGTTGGTTTCAAAGAACATCTTTATTTCTGCCTTCATTTCGTTATGTACCAACTAGTCATTCAGGAGCAGGTTGTTCAGTTTCCATGTAGTTGAGCGGTTTTGAGTGAGATTCTTAATTCTGAGTTCTAGTTTGATTGCACTGTGGTCTGAGAGATATTTTGTTATAATTTCTGTTCTTTTACATTTGCTGAGGAGAGTTTTACTTCCATGTATGTGGTCAATTTTGGAATAGGTGTGGTGTGGTGCTGAAAAAAATGTATATTCTGTTGATTTGGGGTGGAGAGTTCTGCAGACATCTATTAGGTCCGCTTGGTGCAGAGCTGAGTTCAATTCCTGTGTATCCTTGTTGACTTTCTGTCTCGTTGATCTAGAAAAATTTTTTAAAATTTTTTTTGCAGGGAAAATGCTGTGCATATAATTAGCAGTGCTTTTTATGACTTGATAAAATTCAAAACACCTTAAACATCCAAAAATAGGGAATGAGCAAATAAATAATTTTCCATGTTCTGATGAAAAACTATGTTTATGAAAATTTTGTGGTAACATAAACAATGTGTAAGTCACTAACTTAAATAAAATACACACTTGAATAATCTTATGATCCAAGTTATATAAAAAGCAAGATTTATCTTCAAGAAAAAAAAACACTTGGAACTCAAATTATGTGCAGCTTTTCATGGTAGAAATTTTTTTTTCTGCTTATTTTCTTTGAGAAGCATGTATTGGAAAAAAGTATTAACTTTTATATTTGAAACAAGCTTGCGTGATTTGCTTTCTGTTTCAAGTTTACTTGGAACATCAGCCACCTCTAAGCATCTTTGGTGAAGGGGGTTATAAAACCTTTAAATCTGTCCATATTATGGGTTGCTATTTGCCTGGATTTTCTGGAAGAAAACTGTAACTCTATTTCACTTCTAGGATATTATTTTTCTTGTCAAACTTTATTCATGACTACCAGTATTACAGCTCCATAATTTCTTTTTCAGATCTAAACAGAAAAAAATATAATTTAAAATTTTCTAACCTTAAGCTTAAATATATTGTGGAGAAAGATGCCAAATTATCCACTACATGTAAGTTTTCTTAAATTTATTTTTTTTTTTTTTTGTAACAATAACAGTCTGGATTGGGTTATGCTGTAACAGAAAACCTAGCAAATACTGGATTAAACAAAGACAAGGTTTATTTCTCTGAAGTAACAGTCAGTAAACAAATAGGCAGGAGAGGAATGATAAGGTCACTACGCAATGCCGTCACAGACCCAGGGGCCCTCTAGCTTTCCACTTGGCCTCTGTAGGGCCTGGCTTTTCTAGTCATGCTTTAACTCTCATTGCAAGATAGCTGCACTATCTCTAGCCTCATGGCTTGTTTCAGGTAGAAGGAAGGAGGAGGTTGAAGAGCAAAAAGTCCTTATTAACTAAGTCACATTTTTAAAGAGTTTTCATAGACACCCTACTCAAGGATGTCCACCTATATATCACTAGTCAGAACTGTGTCACAAACCACCCTTGTTCAAAAGAGAAACTGGGAAATTGGTTATTAACTGGATACATTACTGCCCTTAAGAAACTTGTTTTTTTTTTCTACTTAAAGAACAAAAATGGGGTTTTCTCTATTAAAGAAAAAGGAGAATGGGCATAAACTAGAAAACTAGCAGCAGTAGCAGCCACGGTGACTATAACTAAAAATCACCATGAAGAATAGTATGCAGAAATGATATGATTAGGCTATTATGTGTGAAGCATACTAACAATTTCTATTCATCAGAATAACATAAAAATTTTAAACTATGACTAAATTTACTAGCGATTATTTCTATCTCCTCACATAACATCACAAATGTATAAATTCCCAGCACATACTTGGATTCACACACGCATATACACACACACATACAAATTTAGAATTAGAGTGACCTAATTTCTTATTGTAATTTCATGAACATCTTGCCAATCCAGGCTTTATTTATCACAAAGGCAATGAAAGAGGAAAGCGTCAAATATAGTAACCTTCCAGCATCTAATGACCAGTACACTGTAAATCCTTCAAGAGCAGAGACTATTTCATTAGATTTAGCTCTCTTAAGACATTTTTATAAAGAATTTTTTTTAAGAAAAAAATTGGTTTACAGAATCAATGAACAAAATGAACTAAAGAATGGCTAAAAAGACTTTCTGTATTTAGCTTCCTTTGTTTGTTTCTTTGCTGATTTGTTCGTTTTACATAAGTCTTACTTAATTGGTTCTTTTAAAAGCTATCAGAAGGAAATTTCAGGATATCAAGAGATGGGATCCAATCAAAGGCTTTTGCTGAGGGCTGTTTGGTGCCCAAATGAAAACAGTATTATACAACATTCAGATATCACTGATAGCGACAGGAGGCAGCCAAATGCCTAGGCAGATGGGGTGGGTTCCTGGTGAAACCCCACCTCTAAACAAAAGACAGTTTAAAGCCTGAAAGCCAAACTGCAAGTTAAACTCTGGGACCGGATTGAGAACTTATCTTCCCATTTCACATACTTTCCTCTGATTGTTCCCCGCTCTTCACCTATTTTACATATACCTACCCTTTCCTAATTGGTTTTTCTACACTGTCATGCCCACCTTTGAGTGGTGTCTTCACTTTAACCTTTTTGCATACCTCACAAACCAGCATGTACTTCCCATTTTGAGTCCCTAAAAGGTCCTGGACCCAGCCACCATGGTGGGGCTTTCCTGCCTTCCAGTAGGGGAACCACCCCCCATATCCCCTCTCTGCTGACAGTTGTTCTGTCCTTCAGTAAAATTCTTCTCCACCATCCTTACCCTTCAATGCCCAGCATATCCTCATTCTTCTTGGGTGTGGTACAAAAGCTTGGGAACTGCTGAATGCAGGTACAAGCTATAACAGAGGTGAGCTGGGGCATGCCAGGTGGGCTGTTGCCGGTCAGGGGTCCCCAGCTTCCAAAGTGACTGAGAAGAAAAGTCCTGCATCATTACCCACAAGGTTCCAGCCTTCTTCTCATGAAATTTCTCTCTTTTTTTGAAATTCAAATAGATTTGCAACTTCACCTTTATTTTTGGCAGAAGGAGTAGTGAAGAAAAGAAGGGTTTTCCATCCAATGAATGATTGTTTTGTAGAAGTGTTCTAACCGCTTTATTACCCCACCTCCACCCCCAGAGCAGAAATGAAGGGTGTTGTCAACTCCTTTGATATAGATTTAATGAGAAGAACCCTTTCTATTTATTATAGCAATATTAAAATAGGAAGCAAGAATGAAATGTTATATTTCAATGTTGCAATGTGTCTAATTATTCATCTTTATATATAACTAGAAAGACTATTATGTGATTATTTTATGTTGGAAAGATGCACATAAATATTGATATGACCCAAGGATAATAGAAAATAGGCACAATGAGGTAATCATATTTATGTCCCACAACAAAAAAACACAATCATACATTGTTTGGCCTGTATGAGGTGCATTTTTGCCTTATGAAAGAAATTTGACCAAGTTTCAAAAAATATAGTTTATAAGTGGAAAGGACAGCCGTACTTTAAATGACCTTCAAAAATGATCACATGATGTTCTCTACTCAAAACACTGGAGGAATATATATTCTAAAATAACCAGAAGATATCTAGTTTTGAATTATAGACTCTCTGGGTCCCTGAGTAGAGACATTGTGTTCCTCTCAATAAATAACTGTTCTTTCCTACTTATGTATGGAACAGATTTTCACTACAGAAGCAGAAAATCTCATCTCGTTATTGTAGGCTTCTTGGCATACAACATAGTAGAGGGATAGGATGGGTGCTCAGGTCAGTCTGAAGTTGTTAAAATCATTTAAAAAAGTAACTCAGTAATATCTATGAAAACTTGCAAACTCACATTTGTTTTGACCCTTCAAACCTACTTTGTGAAAGCTATTCTGTAAAAATTAAAGCACCAGAATTTATGAATATATAAAAACTGGTTGTTTTAGTATTATCTATTGTGACAAAAAAATAACCATCAGTAGGGCTACTACTAAACAAATTGTTGAAATTGTGTTATATTCAATATTAAGGAATATTATGCACTGGTGAAAAAACTAAAAACATTAACATATAAAGATGCTCCTGATATACAATCAAACTTGGAGAACACAATAAATTAGTCATACTCATGCCAAAAAATGCAAACTTAATGAATCTAAATTTATTAAATTTAGATTGAATACAGTCATGCAGTGACTAAATCTTACATGGCTTCTCAACACAGTCAGATTGTGTGTAAAACCACTCGCCTTCGCCATAATTTCATCAAAGCCCTCTTCATCTCACTATTTCGCAAACTGTAGATAAGCAGATTCAGCAGTGGTGTCAGAAGTGAGTAAGACAATGACATCACTTTCTTGGTTTCCGGTGAGTAGCCAGATTTGGGTTGTAAATAAGTCATACTGGCTGTGCCATAGAATAGGGTCACAGATGTGAGGTGAGCGGCACAGGTGGAAAAGGCCTTTTGTCTCCCAGTGGTTGATGGCATCTTCAGGATGGCAAACAGAACTCGAATGTAAGACAAGAGTATCAACAAGAAAGGAACCAAAATAATCAAAAAGGTGCCTGTGAATGCATAGATTTCAAACAAAAACGTGTCTGCACATGCAAGTTCTAACACTGCTGGGGTTTCACAAGATATATGGTTAATTTCATTAAGGCCACAAAAGGGAAAACTAGATACCCATGATGTTTGAACAGTACCTAACATAAAACCTAAGGCCCATGAAAATATAATTAATTTCATAAAAACTCCTTTATTCATAATCATTTGGTAGTTGAGAGGATGGCAAATTGCAGCAAATCGGTCATAAGCCATTGCTCCCAGAAGAAAACATTCAGCCCCACCAAAAAGAAGGATGAAATACATCTGTGCAAAACAGCCCCCAAAAGAAATTGTAGTTTTTTCAGTAGAGAGGACCACCAGCATTTCAGGCATAATAACTGCACTGAAACTCAGGTCCACCACAGATAAGTTCAGGAGAAACAGGTACATGGGAACGTGGAGGCTCTGGTCTAGGGAGACGATGACTATAATAATGGCATTTCCTATCAGGGTCACCAGATAAATAACCAGGAAAGCCACAAAGAGCTGCCCCTGGAGCTCAGGATAGTTAGAAAAGCCCAAGAGGATGAATTCAACCACACAGCTTTGATTTTGTCTTTCCATTTTCAGTAATGAAGTCGTGCATTGATTTTATGGACATAGTATATACAGAATAAAGCCACAGTCCATTAGCTAAGAGTTCCAGTCTGCATTCACCCCAGAAATTCTGGCAGAAGATGAGGAGCCTATCCTGACAGAAATTTTCTTTGGCAATTTTAGACAATGACCAAATACTTGGATTATATTCCAAATATAAAAAATAGAAATGAAGAATTCTGGCTCAGAGATCTTGTCAAATAATATCAAAATTTATTTGATATTATTTGAAAATTAAACATAGCCTTAATGGAAATATAAATACTTTATACCTTAGGTTCCAATCCCATAACATTGGTGCAAGTGTTCTTTATTTAACTGAATTTTACATAAATGCAAAACTTAAGACTACAAAAAATAAAATATAAAAAAGCAGATAGATTGAAAAAGATATCTCAACAAATGTGATAATAGCCTAATAATCCAATGTTACAGCATATTTGATATAAACTTATTTAAAATATTAATTAGATTCAAAGTACCTATATATGACTTGGAGAAAGAAAACAACATTCTGTAGAAACATAGAGGGGATTTGAATTTTCAACACAACCATATTAGGTGACCTATAGACTATGTGAATTGGCTTCAAGCTTGCAGATTTCTGCCCATCCTGGATCTGGCCAATTATATTGGGATTTACCTGGATGTGAAGTTTTTGGGGCCAGATCTCCAAGGTCTATCCTTCTGACCATGATGACTTAAGAAAAAAACCATTTGGGGGATCATTGTGTAATTTAAAAGATTTCACTCTCTCTCTCCTTTTCTCTCTTCTCTCTTCCCACTATACTCGTCATCAAAAAATTCATTTAATCATTAATTATTCAACAAGCACTGATTAACCAGCTACCATTTTCTAGGCTCTGCACCCTTAGGAATACACATGAATCCAGAGCTCAACAGAGAGCTAAGCACACTACATAAAATAGCTTCTAACCCCTTAACCAGTATGCTGCATAAACTAGTACCTCCCCGTACCGCATACCCCAGGACTTTCTCTTTCTTTCTCTCTCTCTTTCTATGTGTACATATATATATATATATATATATATATATATATACACACACATGCACACATATATATACACAACTGAGTGATTCAGTTCATTGATTTTATAACATTATATGGCATAGAATATAATATATCCTCTATCCTTTTTTTAAGAAATATGTGTAAAATATATTTTAAATATTTATATAAATATAAACAGATTAATATTTTATATATATTATATATATATAAGCTCTAGTAAGGTATGTGTATGTGTATGTATATATATATATATATATATATATATAAAATCCCTCACTAGAGCTTAGCTCCCAGAGGGCAAAGATTTTGTTTGCTTCTTTGCTCTACACACACTGCCTACACTACAACCCTCCCTGGCTCATAATAGGTTTTAAACCAACATTTTTGAATAAATGAATTTTAAAATAAGAAAAACCTAGACTCTATTTTTAAGGAATAGAGTGCCTAAGAGAAGTCAGCACACAACACAATTGGAAATTAATAACACGTGCTGTAGAAATTTAAGTAAGGGAATGATGACATTTGAAGGGGGTGGAGGATGAACAAACACAATCACAGGATGTCATGAATGGAAGGCCATTAGGTCGGAGGAGGATGGCAGGAGGAGGAAAACTGACTTGCTCAAGTCAGGAGGCACTTGGTGACACCATAAAACTAGAATGGAAGCCTACTGCCTTTTGTGTGATGTTTTGAAAACCAAAAGAAATTCACTGTGAGAGATGAGGAAGCCAGGAAGACAGATGGACACAGCAAGTTGAAGGCATACAGTGCTGTCTTGAGTGCAGACCTGTAGGACATTAGCAGACAGGAGAAGACAAGTTACTTTATTTCTGAATTTGTCCATAGTCATGTATTAAAATCAAATGACTGTATTTAACCACAAAAATTGTACTGTATTTTGGATGTCAAAAAACCTCCTACAATTATTAAAACCAGACTCTGTGAGGCCAAATATTTAAAATGCATTTCTAATGGCAAAAAAAAGAACAACATGTATTCAGTTCCAACTATGTAAAAGTAGATTGGTTTTAAAAATTAGAATATTTACAGAATGTTATACAAAATAGAAAATCTTTATACCTTAGAAGATCTTCATGGTGTCTTGGATAGATCACTGACAAGTAATACTTACGCAGATCACTTCCTCCCCAAGGCTTCAGCCTGCCAATGGAAAGAGGTAAGTGTTGAACTTACTAACCAAGTTCTCTTCTAGTTGCAAACTCCAGAATATGATGATTTATGCATGCAAAGCACTTACACTTCTACTTATTGCCCGAACCTTTCTCTGAAAAGAAAAAGAAATTGACTGGCATCAAACCAAAAAGTCTACTGACTCAATGTTTCAGCTGAGCCTAGTGACTCCTGAGCACTGAGCCATCACTTCAACAACATCTCCAACTATCAAAGAGGACAACTATAAACAGAAGTCCCACCAAAACGCACAGGAGCAGAATATGCACTTTTTTACCTGTTGACTCTGTCTCTTTAATTTTCATACTACTTTATCAGAAGATTCACCTGTAGTCAAAAGCCACCTATTCACAAACACAACTGACTGATTCAGAGCATTGATTCCATAATGTTATATGGCATAGAATTATATGCCCTGGAGAATTCCTCCCTGAAGAACGTGAAATCACTTCATAGAGACCTTCCTGTATTTTTGTGTGATAACTAACGAGGCTTAAACTTGGCCCCTCGGGTGAGAAAGCTCAAGAGCACAAACATGGAGCAGCACTCCTTCTTATGTCTATGGGGAATGAGCACCTCTTCCCACAAGAGACTCAATTCCACCGTGACACCTCCCAGTAGGAGGTGAGAGCAGAGGCTGAATGAACATTGTCAATAGGGAAAGAAGGGAGGGGTGGAGTGAAGGTGTGAGCAAAGGCAGGTGACCTAGGGCTAGAGGATTCACATGGACACAATGCACAGTTTGTGCAATGGAGGGAGACATGGCAGGTAGATTAAAGGTGCTTTGTAGAAAGCCTGGATGCTCCCTCTGACTCAAGAACTTTTTAACATGGAGTCAAAATATCCTGACTGGCTTGTATAACTTTGAGCACATCACTCAACTTTCTGGTTCTATTACTTTCTCTGTAAAATAAAGATAATGATATTAATCTCATAGGATGTATATAGGAATGAGGACTCAGGGTTTAGTTTAAACTGGCTTGAGCAATAAAGGAAGCCATAGGCTCTGTCCCAGGAGACAGAGATGAATGAATCTGCAGGCTTGGCTTTATCCAGAAGGCAGATGATGTGCTCACGCCGAGGCTCCACTTCTCTTCTTCTCATCTATGGTTTTGTGGGGTAGGTTCTATTCTCAAGAAAGCCCTCTTGTCCTTGCAGCAGTAAGGCTGCCAACAACACATAGGGATATTCTCCCTAATCCGTCTCCAGTGGGAAATGTCCCAGTGATGCTGAGGAAAGGGGGTTCTGAAAGAAGCAGTCCAGGGACGCCTCCCATATTAGTCCCCATGGTGGGATTACATGCCCATTCATGAACTAGTCCGGTGCCCCAAAGATGGGAAAAGCTGTCTAATAGGTACTTTTCATAATTCCTACCCCATGACATCCCATGCAGGCTTCTGTTGTACTAATATGCTCTATAACCTGATGTCAGTGACTGTATCACAGGTGATGTACAAATTGTGAGAAGTCATCAAGATGTAGAGTCATGAATTGTACACTTTACATACATTGGATTTCAACAAAGTGTATAAAAAACATTTCAGGCACATATTTAAAAGGGTAAGTGGGGAATAATAGTAATGTTAATCTCCAATTTAAAGCCAATATGTCATGGATATAACAATAATCAAAATGTGGAGATTTTTAACACACTTTCTCAAAGTTTGAGAGAGCAAACAGACAACAAAAAATACAAAATGGAAAGATTTGAATAATAAAATGTTGATTTAACAGGTGGTAATGAGAATAAATAAGATATAGAACACTTTCATCTCATTAACTCTATATTTTTATCCCAAAATATCTATATAATATTTACAAAAATTGAATATGTGTTTTGTCAAAAAGAAAATCTCAATAAATTCCAAAATCCTGGCAATCATATATATACAGCATTCCGTGTAATAAAACTGCAAAAAAAGCCCAAAATAGAAAAGAAAAACTAGTCTTAGAAACAAACTAACAACATACCTTAAAAAACTAGATGTAAAAACTCTTATGCTCATTTTATAAAAATTATATTTATTTATATAAGTGTTTTATGTACATAGGAAGAATCACAAAAAAATAGACATGAAATAATTTACATTGGCTACTTTTAGGAATGATGGAATTGGGGGATGAGAATAGAGGTATTTTTGAGAGACACTTTTGTATTTTTATTTTATAAATCTACTGCTTGAATTTAAAAGAAATAATTTTGTAATAAATAAAAGCAAGGTTTTTAAAAATAGAAAGTGAAGTTCAGCCATGAGGTCTTTGCCCATGCCTGTGTCTTGAATGGTATTGACTAGGTTTTCTTCTAGAGTTTTTATGGTTTTAGATATTACGTTTAAGTCTTTAATCCATCTTGAGTTAATTTTTGTATAAGGTGTAAGGAAGGGGTCCAGTTTCAGTTTTCTGCATATGGCTAGCCAGTTTTCCCAACACCATTTATTAAATAGGGAATCCTTTCCTCATTGCTTGTTTTTGTCAGATTTGTCAAAGGTCAGATGATTATAGATGTGTAGCATTATTTCTGAGGCCTCTGTTCTGTTCCATTGATCTATATATCTGTTTTGGTACCAGTACCATGCTGTTTTGGTTACTGTAGGCTTAGAGTATAGTTTGAAGTCAGGTAGCATGATGCTTCCAGCTTTGATCTTTTTGCTTAGGATTGTCTTGGCTATGCAAGCTCTTTTTTGGTTCCATGTGAAATTTAAAGTAGTTTTTTCTAATTCTGTGAAGAAAGTCAGTGGTAGCTTGATGGGGATAGCATGGAATCTATAAATTACTTTGGGCAGCATGGCCATTTTCATGATATTGATTCTTCCTATCCATGAGCATGTAAATGTTTTTCCATTTGTTTGTGTCCTCTCTTATTTCCTTGAGCAGTGGTTTGTAGTTCTCCTTGAAGAGGTCCTTCACATCCCTTGTAAGTTGGATTCCTAGGTATTTTATTCTCTTTGAAGCAATTGTGAATGGGAGTTCACTCATGATTTGGCTCTCTGTTTGACTATTATTGGTGTATAGGAATGCTTGTAATTTTTGTGTATTGATTTTGTATCCTGAGACTTTGCTGAAGTTGCTTATCAGCTTAAGGAAATTTGGGGCTGAGACGATGGGGTTTTCTAAATATATAATCATGTCATCTGCAGAGACAATTTGACTTCCTGTCTTCCTATTTGAATATCCTTCTCTTGCTTGATTTCCCTGGCCAGAACTTCCAATACTATGTTGAATAGGAGTGGTGAGAGAGGGCATCCTTGTCTTCTGCCAGTTTTCAAAGGAAATGCTTCCAGCTTTTGCCCATTCAGTATGATATTGGCTGTGGGTTTGTCATAAATAGCTCTTATTATTTTTAGATACATTCCATTAATACCTAGTTTATTGAGAGTTTTTAGCATGAAGTGGTGTTGAATTTTATTGAAGGACTTTTCTGCATCTATTGAGATAATCATGTGGTTTTTGTCATTGGTTCTGTTTATGTGATGGATTGCGCTTATTGATTTGCATGTGATAAACCAACTTTGCATCCCAGGGATGAAGCTGACTTGATTGTGTTGGATAAGCTTTTTGATGTGCTGCTGGATTCAGTTTGCCAGTATTTTATTGAGGATTTTTGCATCGATGTTCATCAGGGATATTGGCCTGAAATTGTCTTTTTTTGTTGTGTCTCTGCCAGGTTTTGGTATCAGGATGACACCAAAAGCAATGGCAACAAAAGCCAAAATTGACAAATGGAATCTAATTAAACTAAAGAGCTTCTGCACAGCAAAAGAAACTATCATCAGAGTGAACAGGCAACCTACAGAATGGGAGAAAATTCCTGCAATCTATCCATCTGACAACGGGCTAATATCCAGAATCTACAAGGAACTTAAACAAATTTACAAGAAAAAAGCAAACAACCCCATCAAAAAATAGGTGAAGAATATGAACAGACACTTCTCAAAAGAAGACATACATGCAGCCAACAAACATATGAAAAAAAGCTTATCATCACTGGTCATTAGAGAAATGCAAATCAAAACCACAATGAGATACCATCTCATGCCAGTTAGAATGCAGATCATTAAAAAGTCAGGAAACAACAGGTGCTGGAGAAATAGGAACGCTTTTACACTGTTGGTGGGAGTGTAAATTAGTTCTACCATTGTGGAAGACAGTGTGGCGAGGATCTAGAATCAAAAATGCCTTTTGACCCAGCAATCCCATTACTGTGTATATACCCAAAGGATTATAAATTATTCTACTATAAAGACATATGCACACATATGTTTATTGCAGCACTATTCACAATAGCAAAGTCTTGAAACCCAAATGCCCATCAATGATAGACTGGATTAAGCAAATGTGGCACATATACACCACGGAATACTATGCAGCCATGGAAAAGGATGAGTTCATGTCCTTTGTAGGGACATGGATGAAGCTGGAAACCATCATTCTCAGCAAACTATCTCAGGGACAAAAATACAAACACCACATGTTCTCACTTATAGGTGGGAATTGAACAATGAGAACACTTGGACACAGGAAGGGGAACATCACACACTGGGGCCTGTTGAGGGGTGGTAGGTGGGGGGAGGGATAGCATTAGGAGATATACCTAATGTAAATGACGAGTTAATGGGTGCAGCACACCAACATGGCACATGTATACATATGTAACAAACCTGCACATTGTGCACATGTACCCTAGAACTTAAAGTATAATAATTAAAAAAAAGAAATTTGATCCCCAATGTTGAAGGTGGGGCCTAGTGGGAGATGTTTGGGTCATGGTGGTGGATCTCTTATTAATAGACTGATTTCCTGGGGTGATGAGGGGAGTGAGTGAGTTCTTAGTTTGTTAGTTCTGCTAGAGATGGTTGCAAAAAATAGCTTGACACCTTCCCTCTTTCTCTTTTTTTCACTTCCTCTCCCACTGTGTGATCTCTATACTCTGCCTCTCCTTCCCCTTCAGCCATAAGTGGAAGCAGCTTGAGGTCCTCATCAGATGTAGATGCTGGCACCATGCTTCTTGTACAGACTGAAGAGCCATGAACTAAATAAATCTCCCTTCTTTGTAAATTACCCAGTCTCGGGTATTTCTTTGCAGCAATGCTAACAGACTAAAACATTACTACAATTGCATTGATCTTCAGATAGATAACAAAAGATGAGTCAATTGACAAACCATTGAAAATTAAATGTGAGAACCAGAGTGTCAGTCACTCACAAAGAGGTCCTCATCTCTTGCAACAAGCAGGCAGAAAAAATGGAGATCATTTTCAGGGTTCAGTAGTCACAGTGGCTGAACTTCAATGATACCTGCATGCTTAATCAAGGTAGCTATGTTAAGCCAAATCTGGAGCCAGAGTTGGAAAAAATCTAAGGCTTTGACACATGGGATAAGAATTCTAGGTGGATGCCTCCAAAGATCTGGACTTCAAAGATATCACTAAACTTTCTAACACTGCAGAAGTGACCAACCCCTCCCTATTCAGGGCAGGAAGACTATCGAAGAGGCGCACGATCAGAAACTGCCTTCCCCTCTTTTCCTCAACACCAGGCCTATAAATATGGTTAAGTCACAGCACAGCTCAGCCAGGGAAATAAGGAAAGAATGGAACAATACCACAAAAGAACTGCAAGATCTAACAGACCTTCACCAACAAGGGGAGAACCATGGTACTTGTCCTGAGGGTGCTGGACCAGGAGGCTGGTAGGCAAGGCTGGATAAGTGAAAGTTTATTGACCTGATCTGGAAAGAAAAGAAAGGGAGTTTGGCAGCAGGGAGGTCTAGGGTAGAGGCATATTGATAGGCATATGGAGTGGGCATAAAGTGTGAAGGTCTTTGTATCTTGTGTTAACACCTGGTCAGTAGGTAAAATGACTCACCCAGTTGACAAATTAGCCTACTTCTTCTGTCAGCAACCACCCCAGTGCTGGCATGATGCCCACAAGAACAAAGTGGCCTGGCAGCAGAGATAAAGGCTATGCAAAAGCCCAAGCAACGTGGAACTCATTTACCAAGACCAACCAGATTTACTAGTTATAATGTGTAACTCCTCAAAAAAATTACAAATCAGTGCATAGACCATATACAAATATACCCATACACATTTAGAATTAATGTGATATGATTTCATATTGTAATTCCTTAAACACAAATTCAGTCAACTCTATATGAATTGAAATAATACCAGTAAACAATTCAGATATTTATGTCAAATTTCATATGTAATAGAGACCACGTAAACAATCAGTAGGGATTTGTTTAACAATTATAAACCTAAAACCAGTTTAAATAGACACACAGATATATATATGTATTGCCTATTCCCAAATAATATACACAAATTATAATGACACCCCTTCATTTAGCAGAATATGTATATCTAATCTTAACATCACAGTATCAGTTTTATTCCAATTATTTTTAAGAACAATTGAGGGAGGTAACCTGGGAAGATAGGTGACCGGATATCTTGTAGCTATCTATTTAGGAACAAAAGGAAAGGCAATTTTTTTGCCTGAGCCAGTTTCCAAGCTTAACTTTTCTTTTGGCATAGTGAGTTTGGGGTTCCAAGATTTTACTTTCCTGTCACAGACTACAAAAGGAAACTTCATAAAAGTTTCTAAATCAGTGGTCTGTAAATGAAAAAGATACTGATATTATCAAATGAGAATTTGAGAAACTTCCCATGTAGCTCTCTGGTCACCAACATTGGATAAATATTTGGAAAGATACCAAGAGAAATCCAGTTTGGGATTATAATTTGTGTAAGGTCATGAAGTAGAACCATTTTTGGCCCCCCAAAATAGATGCACTTTTTTTTTACTCATCCGTGGAACAAATTTTCAATCCAAAAATAGAAACATCATCACCTTATTTGTTGGTCTCTTGAAGCTCTACCCTGTTACCAAAGCACAGTGAGCCTTCAGGCCAGTCTGAAGAACTATAATCATTTTGAAAAGTAATTCTGCAATAGCTAATAAAATTTGTAAACACAGATACTCCTCATCCTATCAGCCGCACTGTAGCAAATCTATCACACAGGTATAATGACATCAGTACATATGAGCATATGGAACAAGGCATTTATTGAAGCACTGTCTTAATGACAGTAATCCAGGCCAGGCGTGGTGGCTCACACCTGTAATCACAGCGCTTTGGGAGGCCGAGGTGGGCGGATCATCTAAGGTTGGGAGTTTGAGACCAGCCTGACCAGCATGGTGAAACCCCGTCTCTACTAAAAATACAAAAATTAGCTGGGTGTGGTGGCGCATGCCTGTAATCCCAACTACTCGGGAGGCTGAGGCAGGAGAATTGCTAGAACCCAGGAGGTGGAGGTTGCAGTGAGCCCAGATCGTGCCATTGCACTCCAGCCTGGGCTGGAGCGAAACTCCATCTCAAAAAAAAAAAAAAAAAAAATGACAGTAATCCAGTAGCTACTTGGATGTTCATAATAGAGAAATGGATGAATAAACTGTTGTGTCATGTTATGAGAACATATGTATCTACTAAAAACAAGTGACAGCAGTTCTTTATTGAGATACGTTTTCCAATAAAAAAACTCAACAAACTTACATAGTCATACAAAAAATGCAGTCTGTTTTCACCCTTTATTAAATTTAAATAGAGTTCACTCAGGCAGTGGCCAAATCTTACTCAGCTTCTCAACACAATCAGAATGTGTGTAAAATCACTTTTCTTCGCCATAGTTTTATCAAAGTCCTCTTCATCTCACTGTTTCGTAAGCTATAGATGAGCGGATTGAGCAGAGGGGTAAGCAACGTGTAAGCCAATGAGATCAGTTTCTTGGTTTCGGGTGAGTAGCCAGATTTGGGTTGTAAATAAGTCATATTGGCTGTGCCATAGAACAGGGTCACAGATGTGA